>NC_000001.11:241335636-241487151 GCF_000001405.40 Homo sapiens
ACACAAAAATCACAAAAAGATCCTGTTCTTAAAGAGCTCAAAAGATTTTAAAACACACACACACACACACACGCAGAGTGATGTGCTGGTAGATGCTCTTCATCAACCAGTTTTCCAGGGGCTGCAGGAGAAGCCTTGATTTACAGCATTTGCCACTTCCCATGATACAAATACTCCAACCATGGCTAATTTCAATTTTTCAACATCAATATGGGGTTGTGGATTCAGGGAGATATTAAAAACTGTCTAAACTGGCTCTAGTGCACCACTACTGATACACTGCTGATATGAGTGTGTGTTTCACTATATAAAAGAACTAATCAAATATTTTAGAGTTGTTATGTTAGAGTAGTGTGATTATGATTGCTTCTTCTTCTTCTTTTTCCTTTTTTTTATAGCATCCAACATTTTTTATGAAGAAGACTTTTTTTAAAGATAAGTACTAGTAGCAAGATTCTTATCCCAGACCACTTTTTCTACATAGCCTTGGTATAACCAAAATTATCTGAGGAGTAGAGAGGCTAAAATATTTTGATGGCACATCAGATTCGCTTTAGAGCCACATGTCCCAGTAGAACTAAGAAAGGAAATGCTGCAGAGAGTGTCCAACTTCTAAGAGGCATCATCAGACTTCATTTAGCACTAAGTCTTCCTGAGCCCCACCTATGTGACCATATGACCACCTAGATCTTACAAAATATATTTGCAGAGCATGCCACCTCCACACATTCTTAAGATTTTGAAATATTCAATCATAGGATGTATGTGAAAGAAGGGGAGGAAGTAGAAACTAAGAGAAGGATAATCCCTAAAACATAGGAATCCAGACAGAAATATTATTGCTTCTGCAGAAACCCTAGGACAGGATTGAATGACTCACCACCTGTTTGGTTTTATGGTTACATTTCAACAGTGTCTGCAGCTGTAACTCATGCTTCCTCCTTCGGCTTTCTTAACACACAGATGCACTCTGTTTTGGAACCAAACATCTTTGTCCCATTCCAGAAACTCTTTTCTTTCTTAGGACTATATGAATGATTAACCCTGTAATCTTCAAGGTTATTTATTATCATTTTTAATGTGAAGAAGTGGAAGTTTTGTGGAGGGAAAATAAAACGCCTTATTGCTTGCATAACATTTTAACATTTATGAAACAATTGCATGTAACTTATCACAGTTATCACAATAATCCTCTGGAATAGGATATTCCTGGCACCTTCATATGTGAAGATAAAGAGGCTCAGAGAGTTTAAAAGACTCACTCAAGTTCACAAAGCCACAGAGTGGTCTCTCACTGCCTTAAACACATGGGCTTCAGAATCCATATTCCAACCCAGTAGGGAAGTAGCTTGGTATAGTTTAGAGAAAAACAAGATGTGGAGTTAGGCAGGCTAGATTTCAAATCTTGACACCACCATTTTCCATCTGTGTGATCTTGGGTAAAATCCTTACACTTTCTAGGCCTCATTTTCCTCATTTGTAGCATGGAGAGATGACACTCACCTTACTGGACTGTTAGGAAAATCAAACAAAATAAAATTTGGCATAAGATGGGTTCTCAAAACATTTCTTTTCTCTTTTCCACCATTCTGTACTCCATTGTTCATGCCTCTTGTCCTTGTATCATCCTTAGTTCAAACATACTCATTTTGTTTCTTGCCCTGACTCAAACGGCCTCTCCAGTTGAACAACCAGAAGTTGAACAATCATTTAATGGACAGTGTGTTCTACCAGAGTATATTGCTGTAGCAAGAATTAGACCCCACACAATTGGGAAATCAGGGAATCACTGCAGTCTAACATGGAAGCCCCACTGGTTCCTGCACAATTTTTCTTAGCATACTGTATGTTGTGCCACCAAGACACAGCAGCTCAACACAAAGTACACACAGCTAGGAGGATGGACAAGTCATGCAGAGATACAGTACTGAATGTGCGGCCCATTATACCACGCTCTTCCTCTTGGCTCCATCTCACTAAATGCACGGTTTCCAAAGTATTTATTGCACACTTCAATGCACAAAACACACAAGCAAACACTCAAGAAGGAGCCAGAACCGTTTTATACTAAGCCTGTCACTGCTCCTCCACCTGCAAATTCTGGTGCCAATGCTCCTCTGACTTCATTTTCATAACTCAGGCAACTCAGTACTTCCGTACATACTCTTCCACCAACCTACCTTCCCCTTCAATTTGAAAGGTAAACTCTTTTATTTACTGGATTATTTATTTGCAGGGACATTAACATGTTCTTATAATTGTGCTAGTATTTTCCATAAGCTCACTATTGTTTTGGTTAGTGTTTAATTATAACATTAAATGTTTTGAGTGTTTAAAATGTTTTGAGTAATCTGTTCCAATTCTATTTTCCTCAAAACGTCAGTTATTTTTAGTGAGTGATTTTTCAGAATGTGAGATTTTTAAAAGGAATACATGCATTATGTGATGGCAAGAATGCTCATATTTTGCTTTGTTGTGTAGCTATTTTTTATATATTGAGGTGCCACAAATTGATGTGCTTATTTGACTCTGTTAAAATCCAACTCAGGAGGAACTCATCTCCATGGTTAAGAATGTACAATTTCCACCAAAGATAGTACCGAGGGGGGAAATTCATACTACTTTTCATAAATATGCTAAACCAAATGATTCTAAACATAAAATAGTGTATCCAATATAGCATTGAAATAAATCTATCCAGTACTGGCCTATCTCTACAACTTTAAGCAGCTTTTGCTTTATTATGTAAAAGCATTCCATTTTTAAATCAGCTAAACTTCCAAGCAAGCAAAGACATTACAAGAAAAGATTCTTCAGCTACAGAACCTGTCACATGAGGAACCAATTTCCAGGGTAAGAAAATAAGCTCAAATATTTTAAAAAAATGTTTCTTCTTACCCCTAGCATACTGAGCTGGCAGTATAATGAATCAGAACATTTTCATTTGCATTTATTCTTTGACATGGGCAAATGACAACCTTTCCAGGCTTTCACTGTAGGAAAATGGCAATTTTAAAAACTTGAATAACTATCCTATTAATTTTATGAAGTTGTTATAAGAGATAATATATAGTATATTATATACAAATATATGTTTATATCTTATATATTAAATATATATATGTATACTGGAAATTACTTGTAAATCTGTTTACCCTTCAATCTTGAGACTGTACAGTACTCTGATAAAGAACATATTATCATCATCACTGATTCCTTATCCCCAGCCACTTTTAGCAAATTGCCTTGCACATATTAATTTTTTTTAAGTTCTGTGATACACATGCAGGATGTGCAGATTTGTTACATAGGTGAACGTGTGTCATGGTGGTTTGCCGCACCTATCAACTCATCACCTAGGTATTAAGCCCAACATGCATTAGCTATTTATCCTGATGCTCTCTGCCCCCCAACCCCAACAGGCCCCAGTGCGTGTCGTTCCCCTCCCTGTGTCCATCTGTTCTCATTGTTCAGTCCCACTTATAAGTGAGAACATGCAGTGTTTAGTTTTCTGTTCCTATGTTAGTCTGCTGAGATTGATGGCTTCCAGCTCTATCCATGCCCCTGCAAACGACATGATCTCTTTCCTTTTTAAGGCTGCGTAGTATTCCATGGTGTATACACACCACACTTTCTTTATCCAGTCTATCACTGATGGGCATTTGGGTTGATTCCATGTCTTTGCTACTGTGAATAGGCCTTGCATATAATAATTATTCAATAAATGTTTGCTACATTAAATTGAACCATATGCATAATCAAAGTCAGAGTCTCGCTGTTAAGTTGTTTAAAGGACTAGATTTATTCCTAGAGAGCAAATAGATTGTTCTTAAAAGGCACTGGCTATGGCTGTTGAATTGGTTAAAATTCAGTTTGGATGCAAGTGACAGAAAACACAGATTGTAATATCTTAAAGAAAGTATAAGCTAATTTTTCTGTAGCAAAGAAGTTTATGTAGGCAGGTCAGGTATGGTGACCCTGTAATCATCAGGGACCATTGTTGTTCTACCGTCATAAACTCTCAGCTTGTATCTCCTGGCCAAGATGATTGCATTCTGGCCTGCAAGAAAAACAAAAGAAAAACAAGAAAGGTGCATGCCCTTTTTTTAAGAGCGCTTTCTGAATATTACATCCCAGCTGTTTGCATCCCATTGGCTGGAATATATTATCTTGCCATGCCTAGCAGTGTAGGAGCCTGGGAGCTATAATCTTTATTCTGATGGCCATGTTCCTAGATAAATGGTTAGTGCCATTACTACAGAAAAAGAGGGAAAAAATACCAAGGACAGAAAGGTTTATCACAGTTTCATAAATTGACAGTGAGCTTTGAGTCAAATCAATACAGAGCAAGTAAATTAATTTGTTTCTGATAAACTTTCAGGGCAAGACCATCACATGTGTTTTAAGGATGTAGATAATTCTAGTTAATGAGGAGAGTTAGAACCTATTTCCAACAGATAAACTTCTTTTGTTGGAATCCATTCAAATTCCCATCCCTAATGATCTATACTAAAACTTAATACTAAGCCACACCACATCGATTAAAAGAAATATTATGAAAAGAATGCATAATTGCCTGAGACTAAGATATCAGGTGAAAGGAGAGAGCTGGTTGTAATAATCTTTTCACACAAAACCAAGTGAATGGTAACTTTTTTGGTTATAATCAAATACATCTCTCTTCTTACCCTCAGAATAGAGGGAATGCTGTATAGTCACTAATGCTGTCCAAACTTAAGTGCATTGGGAATAAAAGGATGGGGAGACTAAACAAAGCCAAAGAAATAAAATAATAATAATAAAATAATTCTGAGAGCATCTGGGATATTCCTTAAAGAATTTATAAGATTCTTCAGGAGATATGGGTAGCTTGCCCCATCCGAAAACTCCAAAAACAGTTATTTCATAGGTCTAAAACAACTAAAACTGAATTTATTTTCACTGTACTATTATCTTAGTATTTTTCTTAATTACGCTTCATCACTATCATCACCCAAAAGGGTCAATTATTGAGGTTTCATTCAAACTAAAACCCTGAAAACTAAGGATGGAAAGATAAGAATAAGCAAAAGATAAGAGAAACATTCAAATGGAAAGAAGATAAAAGAAAAATAAATTAGAAGAAAAAGAAAATACTAGATAGTGACTCAGAGAAGTAGAGGCTGAATTTGGAGGAAAATAGGAGAAGTAAGAAAGTAAAGGAGAGAGAGATGAAGGCAAGAGCAAAAACACTAGTGACAGAAGGAGTTACACACAAAGAAAACAAAAGGCAAAGAGGATATTTTAGCAGGGAGATAGAAATCCTCTTACAGGATGGGACTGCCAGGGAAATCTCTGAAACGGGAGGCACCATCTAGGCAGCATTATTCAGTAGGAGAAACTGTTCAAATTTAACCATCGTTTGGAGGACATCAAGCCCTATTTTTGTGTGATCCTGATTTTCCACATTAAAACACAGAAGCTCATGGAGATATTCCACCCCATTTACACAATCACGAAATCGTAGAAATGGTTTGGTTTCTTCTGTCATTGAATTTGATCCTTACAACACCATCGTGAAGCAGAAATTATTATCCCTACTTCCCATGGAGGCTCAGAGAGAGAAACTGACTTGTCCAAGATTATCTTGAACAATGTGAGTCCCAGGTCTGCAACTTACTCGGTGTGTTGTGGAAAAGTCACTTAGCCTCCATAAAAATCATCTGTAAAGTGAAAATAATTAATAACAAGTCCACAGGTTTTCACATATAAATGGGAATATATATACGTACATGTAAAAATACTTGGTAAAATGAAAAACATAATTTGTCATATTTACTAAAACTAAAATGTTCAGTGTAAAAGGCTACAGGGAGTTACATGCTGCTAGTCCTTTAAACTATTAGGATTGAAAATGATGGAAAAGGAGAAGGAGAAGAAGGAAAAGGAAGGAAGAAAGGAAGTAAAAAGGAAGGAAGGAGAGAGGGAAAGAGAGAAAGAGAGGAAGACAAGGAAACAGACCAACCCAGTAACAACGGCTAACACTGTGCATTATTGTGTGCCAGGCCCTGTACTAAGTCTTTGCTCATTTAATCACCATAGCAACTCTAAGACGCAGGTACTATTATTACCCCAGTTTGCAGACAGGGAACGTGAGCCTTGAAGAGGTTTAGTAACTTGACCAATTTATACAGCTGGTTAGCGAGAGAGCCTGGATTCAAATCCACACAGGTACAAGTAGACACTCTTCAACTCTTTTTTTTTTTTTTTTTTTTTTTTGAGACAGGGTCTCACTGTCACCCAGGCTGGAGTGCAGTGGTGCAATCTCAGCTCACTGCAACCTCTGCCACCCTGGTTCAAGCAGTTCTTCTGCTTCACCCTCCGGAGTGGCTGAAATTACAGGCCCGTACCACCACACCTGTCTAATTTTGTATTTTTAGTAAAGATGGGGTTTCACCATGTTGGCCAGGCTGGTCTCAAACTCCTGACCTCAAGAAATCTGTCCACCTCAGCCTTCCAAAGTGCTGGGATTACAGGCATGAACCACCACACCTGGTCTCTGGTACTCTTCAAGTCTTATACTGCCTGGATATTAGTCAGCTAGAAATAACAGTCCTATGAGAAAGAGCGAATATCATAAAAATCTCACTATAAAGGCAGGAATAGGAAAATATTAGGCCCATCAGCACACCAGCAGCTAAAAATATTACCCCCAGGCAGAGATTTAGCACGTGCTATTTTAACGTCCAGTGGAATGAAGGAGATCTCAGTAAATGAAAGTAACATCAGTCACTCTAATAAGGTCAAATGGTGCTACAAGAAGAGAAAAAACCTCCATGAGATTATTTCAATTGCTAATGAAATTACAAATTAGCCTTTGGAGCTCAGTTCATCTTTCCTCAGCGGATAGTGAGCTAATAAGTAAATGTAAAAAGCAATTACAAAATTTACACAGACTTTAAAAACCTCCCCATGATCAAAAAGCTAGCTCAGAAGTTTCAACAAAAACAACAGAGTTTTGGTTAGACAGAAATCTTAGTGGTTGTATAGTCCATAGGCCAAAGCCCTTCCTAAAGTGCGGACAATCCGACCTGCCTTTTAAAGCTGATAGATTGTCCGAAGAATATATATAAATGCCAGTGAGCACTTGAAAAGATGCTCCATCATTAGGGAAATGTGAATCAAAATCACAATGAGATACCACTTCACACCCATTAGGATGACTATTACCAAAGAAATGGAAAATAACAAGTGTTGGTGAGCATGTGGAGAAATTGGAACCTCTGTGTCCTGCTGGTGGAGATGTCAAATGGTGCAGCCACTAGAGAACACGGTATGGCAGTTCCTCAAAAAATTAAAAGTATAGGCCAGGTGCGGTGGCTCACACCTGGAATCTCAGCACTTTCGGAGGCAGAGGCAGGAGGATGACGAGGTCAGGAGATCGAGACCATCCTGGCTAACACGGTGAAACCCCGTCTCTACTAAAAATACAAAAAATTAGTCAGGCATGGTGGTGCGCACCTGTAGCCCCAGCTACTCGGGAGGCTGAGGCAGGAGAATGGCGTGAACCCGGGAGGTGGAGCTTGCAGTGAGCTGAGATTGCACCACTGCACTCCAGCCTGGGCGACAGAGCGAGACTGTGTCTCAAAAAAAAAAAAAAAATTAAAAGTACAATTACCAGGTGATCCAGCAATCCCACTTTTGGGTGTATACCAAAAGAACTGACAGCAGAGACTCCACACAGATATTTGTATATCCATGTTCACTGCACTATTATATACAATAGTCAAAGGTAGCAGTAACCCAACTGCCCATTGTTAAATGAATGAATAAACAAAATGCAGTAAATACATTCAAAGGAATATTATTCAGCCTTTAAAAAGGAGAAAATTCTGGCACATGTTACAACATGGATGAACCTTGAGGACGTTATGCTATGGAAATAAGCCAGTCACATATAATACAAGTGAAATAAGCCAGTCAAAAAAGAATAAATACTACATGTTTCTGCTTATATGAGGTACCTAGAGCAGTTTATTTCATAGGGACAGAAAGTCAAATGGTGATTGCAATGGGACTGGTAGGGGAATGGGAAATTATTGTCCAACAGGTGCGGAGTTTCAGATTGGGAAGATTAAGTTCTAGAGATGGATGGTGATAATGGTCGCACAACAATGTGAAGTGTACTTACTGTCATTAAACTGTGCACTTAAATATAGCTAAAATGGTACATTTTATGATATATATTTTTACCACAATAGAAAAACAAAAAAAAGAAAAAGTAAAGAAGACTTCTTTGTGTAAATATGAAAAGAAATTAAAGCACGTTGAGTAAGAGGTGTCCCTTACCTAAGGATCCAAGACAAATAACAGAGTAATTTTATTTACCTTTTTATATACCTTTATCTTCTTTAAAAGTGCCTTATGTACAAACTAAAAAAATTTATATCCTAAATGATATACGGGATTTGCTTCAAAATAATCAACTGGGGCATAGAGGAAGTGGGGAAGTAGAAATGAAACAAGATTTACCTGTGGTGAATCATTGTTGACACTATGTGATGTGTGCATGAAGGTTCTTTATATTATTTCCTCCACTCTTGTATTCGTTTGAACTATGCCACAATGAAAAATTGTAAATGTTGCTTTATATTTACCATATACAACAGTTTTAAACAAAATATCAAGCCACTGAAGAGCAGTGAATTCTAAAATAAGGTAAAGAAAATTTTTAAAAGAAAATATTCCTTAGATGTCATCACTTCCATTGGTAGGAAAATCCATGTCCCTTTTCTGGACAATTACAATGAACAGTTCACATACACTGAAGAACTGTTATTTATACAAGCTTTACATGCACTGTTCACATAATACTAACAATATACCACTTTACAGATGTGGAAATTCAGACTCACAGAGGTAAAGTAACTGGATTCACGTTAAGTGCATTTTAACCCAGACAGTCTGGCTACAAGCCCTTCAGCTTAACAAGTACATTTCTTGAATTACGAGGGTATTTTTTTCTTCTTTCCTGCTAGCCAATTTAGACAGCCTCAACAATCCTGAGTTGCCAGAATTAGAAAAGCCTGATTGAGAACCTATGAAAAGAGGTATTTTGTTTTTTAAGGGATATGATCAATACCTTTGCCTCATCTGTCACAGTAAATCCCTGAGGAGTTTCAACATTAGCTTAGGTCAATTTAGTTCATTTACTGAGCACCTACTAAGTGTCAGAGGCTGTTAAACCTTGGGCACTGTGCTAGGCACTCAGATTCGCAGAGGAATATAAATTATTCGATTATGAAGACAGATGCATGCGAATGCTCATTGCAGCACTGTTCACAATAACAAAGACATGGAATTAACATAAATGCCCATTAATAACAGACTGGATAAAGAAAAATGTGGTACATACACATCATGGAATGCTATGCAGCCACAACAAAGAACAAGATCATGTCTTTTGTGGGAACATGGAAGTAGCTGGAGGCCATGATCCTCAGCACACTAATGCAGCAACAGAAAACCAAACACTGCATGTTCTTACTTATAAGTAGGAGCTAAATGATGAGAACACATGGACACATAGAAGGGAACAACACACATTGAGGCCTATCGGAGGGTGGAGGATGGGAGAGAGGAGAGGATCAGGAAAAATAACTATTGGGTTATAACTATGCTTAATACCCGAGTGAAGAAATAATCTGTACAACAAACCCCCATGATATGGGTTTACCTATATATCAAACCTGCACATGTACCCCAGAACCTAAAATAAAAGTTTAAAAAGGTAGTCAGTGAACTACGACATGATACTGTATTGAAAACTAAAATGTAATCATGAAGGTGGAATACTAGAATTCCCTGAGAAGAGTTTTTATAAAGGTAAAAACCAACATATTAACATGATTGTATATTTATCTGGAAATAACTACATTTCTCAACGCCTATTTTTCTATTATAAAAGTGAGTAAAATGAATATTGCTCCTACTTAAAAGATACATTGAATTAGAGACTATTGCAATATAAACTGCAAGGCCTGGTATGGCATCTTGGAGAAGAAAAAATCACAAATTCCAATTTCCAAATCAAAGAAGCAACAAATCACAATAAAAAATTTAATACTTAAGGCCAGGCGCACCTGTAATCCCAGCACTTTGGGAGGCCGAGGTGGGTGGATCACAAGGCCAGGAGATTGAGACCATCCTGGCCAACACGGTGAAACCCCACCTCTACTAAAATACAAAAAATAAGCCAGGCATGGTGGTGCGCGCCTGTAACCCCAGCTACTCGGGAGGCTGAGGCAGGAGAATCACTTGACCCAGGAGGCAGAGATTGCAGTGAGCCGAGATCACGCCACTGCACTCCAGTCTGGTGATGGAGCGAGAGTCCGTCTCAAAAATAAAATAAAATAAATACTTAAATGTTTCTATTTTTCAACTTGCAGAGTTTCAATACAAATGTAAAACATACTTAAAATAGGTGTTTCTATTACATTATTTGCTATCAGAGAGCAATAAAAATAAAATTTGATAAAAAAAACTGTCAACAGAAAATAGAGGTTAACATAGTATTTATTTTAGAAACCAGAAAACCAAAAATAAATAATTTATATCAGTCAGTTCTTCCTCTTTCATGGTATTAATCATCCTATGATGAGGTGCTTGGCATCTGTGTTTGCCATGGTAAATAAGCTCCGCGATGGTTCAGACCTATCTGCACTGTCCAAAACTCTATCTTCAGCACTTACCATACACATAGCTGCCCCATACACAGCCAAGGCCAATGCATATGTAATGAATGGACTTGAATTCGAATGTCCTGTCCATTCACTCATTTATCTAGAGAGCAACACAGTAAAGAGGCAAGAGTAGGGACTTTGGACCAGGCATTCATTCACTATTTTATTCATTCATTCATGCATCTATGCAACCAATATTCGAGGACACCTATTTTGTGCCATTGTTCTAGGTCCTGAGACACTGCAGTGAAAAACAGGTGTTTCCAGCCTCACAGAGCTCGACAGTTCTGCCACTAGTCTTGGGAGGTCACTCAGTCTGCGTAAGTTGCCTTTCAGCTTTTTATTTTTAGAAAAATAGAATACTAATAACCAATATGGAAGATTATTTTAAAGAAAACAAGTCATATACATAATGGACCTGGCACACAGTAAGTAAACACTCAATAATTAACAATCAACCAAAAGCCTAAAAACAAAATACCAAATATAAAATTTAGAACCAGTGACAAATGACATTGATTTCCAGAGCGAATGCACCTAGAAAAGTTCAAAGAGAAAAAACATTGTAATAATATTAATTATGTGTTAATAGCCATATTAGTATGAATCTATTCTCTCTACATGGTACCAAATTTTCTTCAAAATCCCTTGGCATACACCATCTTAAGCATTAACAATGAAAAAATGTCCACAGATTTCTGTACTAGAGGAAAAAATTTCTATGAAACCAGTTTGGCTGACATGGAGAGCTTTGTGTGGACAATGAAGGTCATGTAGATTTGTATTGTTCTTGACATCTTCTACCAATGAGTAAATGGAGGAAATCATGTCAACTGGGCTTCTAAATGATCTACAGCCTTGGGGACACACAGCAAGCAGAGGAAGACTTGGTCAGGAAGTGTTTTGCAAAGATGGCTTTTGCAAGGACACTAAGGGAAGTTGAGACACTTGCCCAAGCTTGCATAGCTACTCAGGGGTGGGGTGAGAATTCACATCCAGCTCTTCTGACTCGCGGTCCTTTGACCCTTCATGACTACTACTCTGCATGGGCTATCACCCTCCTTTAAAAGTTCAGAGACTTAGACAAGAGAAGAGAGATTATAAAAAATAGATTCCTTTTATACCTTTTATACCTCAATTTAAAATTCTCAGAAAGGGTTCTAAACACTTTAAATCCCTTTTACCCAGAAGCTTCTGGTTTTTGCTCAGTCTTGTTAGGAATTGGAGTGGCTGTGATACATCTCTGAGATGCTATGAAATAGAGATGAATTGAAATACTTTCAACATCAGCAAATCATCTGAGGCCCCATAAACACCCTGCACAGTACATTCATGGTACATGCAGGCCTTTGTCTTACTGAAAGACAACCTATGTCATCTGATGTTAGGAGAGTCACTCACTTCAGACCACTGAAAGTTTCAAAAAAAGAGAAAAAAAGTCATAAACCAAGTAAATAATCAGTGTCATTTACCATTATATCTACCATTCCCTTACGAGGCCATGGTCTATGGTCTTCCTTTAAAAGTTCTGTTGTATTCTCTTGAAAAAAAAATAATTTGTTGAACTCTACTTTGTTTTAAGCACTGTATGCAACTGTTTAAGTATAGCATATTGTTTTATCTCTTGTCTTGGACTTGATGCTATTTGTTCAAAGTCCTTTACTTCCTGCCACTGTGCTGTCCAATCCAATGGACACTAGCCACCAAGACCATTTAAAGTTAAATTTGAATTAATTAAAATTAATTACAATTTAAAATCCAGGTCCTCAATAACACTCACCACATTTCAGGTGTTCAGTTACCTCACGTGGCTAGTGGCTACTATATCAGGCAGTGAGCATATAGAACATTTCGGTCATGATAGAAAGTTCTATTGGACAGCATCGCCATAGAGCATCAAATCCAGGACTTCCAGCTAAGATCAGATATGAACAGAACGACCACCAGAATAGGTCAGACTAAGTTCCCAATCTTATCGTTCCTGGGGTTCCAAGAGCTAAACTACAGGTCAGAGAAAAAAAAGCATCTAATCTATTTAGAGGGGTTGACTAGATATCCTGGTATAATCCACGATGCCCATGAAGCAACCAGGATGCTGATTATTCACTGACACTAAATTACAAACACAAAGTCTTAGTGGATTTATTGACAGAGAAAGAAAGAGAGGCCATAGAAAGACAAATAAATAAAGACCTGAATTCAAGCTGCGTGACTTCAGGCAAATTGTGTTACTTCTCTGATCCTAAATTTCATAATCTGCAAAATGAAAAAGTAGATTAACTCTGAGTTTCCTTTCACCTCTGAAATTCCTGGATTCTAAGGCTTTATATAGTTTGCATAATACCCAAGGAACTGTGCAGACTGCCAAGATATATAAGACAAGATGCCAAAGACTTTCCCATTAATGAGTAGAGGAAGCTGTCTAGATAGGGCTAAACAATGTAAGACGGGACATTTTAAGTATCATAAAAATGGTATTACCAATGCATCCTACAGAAGCCTCCTCTTTATCTTACCAGAAAAATATGACTGGAGGTAGTGGAAACATTCACTTTTCTTTCATTATCAAAAAATATGGTAACATAGGGTACCCCACCTGGCATATATCGGGTGTTTAATAATTTTTGTTGAAGAATAGTAATAAGATAAAATGATAATAATATTAATTATACTAGCAGGCATGTATTGGAAACCTAATATATACTAGGTTCTATGCAAGACATTTTCCCCAGGCTATCCCATTCTAGCATCAAACAGCTCTATGAAGAAAACATTAAAACATTTTTTATTTTTTTATCACTTTATAGATTAAAAAACTGCAGTGAAAGAAGTTAGGTCACCAAACCACAGCCACACAACTAAACAGTGGCAGAGCTGAGATTTAAAACCAAGACTTCCCAATTCTAGTGCACATGCTTCCTCCATTTCCACCCATTGTCTCCTTAAGAAAACTTTTACTTGTCAATCACCAGAAAGGACCAAAGAAGACTCTCAAACTTTTTAGGAACCCAGCTAATTTCACAAAACTGCCATTTCCTATATATTTTTCCAGACGACAAAACAACAATGTATCTTTCCAGATAGGCCACTCAGCCAAAATATTTTCTAGTCTAGACCAGGTGGCAATTTCAGTGGAGCTGGAATTGAGTTCATGATTGCCTGTTAGTGTTCCAATGTCCTGAGACTTTTGTTAATTAGACACAAGACAAAGGGCATTAAAAAGAAGCCAAGTTAAATTTGCATGGCTGTGGGCAAATGGCAGAAAGAAGTGGGCCTTTGTTTCCTACGGAACTGGGCACCCACTCTATCATCTACAATTATTTTATAATTGGGTTGATATTTTGTAGGATAGAAGCCTGAGTAACCCTGACATCCATATGCCTCCTTATCACTGTCATGAAGTGGAAAGCAAGGGCCAATTATTTGTGTTGCTCGTTTTCCACAATCTTGTTTTCAAAGAGACTTAACATTAAAGTCACTAAACTGTCCAAATTCAAAGTATTTCCACATTCTCTGCAGTGATCACATTCTGTCACCCACACTTCCTAAAAATACCCTGCTTTCCATCACTCACTAGAACCACAGAGGCTATTAGAAGGTAATAAAATCCCTCGAGGGCTTCTCTTTTGCACATTTGCACTTTCCTCTGATCAATTAGATTCAGGGAGATTGGAAGTGGGAAATAAAAGAAATAAAATTCAGGCCACAAATCCTTCTCATAATCCCACAAGTAGCACTGACAAACAACAACTGGCAAGGAAAGAGCTCAACCCTGGAAGACTCTCCTGCTCTAAACTCAATTATTATCCAAAATTCATCATTAAATGATTACTCATAAAATCCTTCTATCTACTTCTCATCAAGAAATATCATCATGGAAATATCAATGATGGTCCTATCTTATCTCAGGGTACATGTCAGTATTAGTATCACTGAGATAAAAACAGATCTGAATATGTTTAGGGTAGACAACATCCTTTGGTCCAGAAAGTTTCTTTCAAATAATCTGATTTACAAAAGACACTCCATTTAAAAATTTTTCAGAAATGGCAAGATCCTTCTCTCAGTGCCTGCCTCCCATCTGAGCCCTTAATTTAGAAATCTGAGGGCTTAAAAGGACCATGCCTTTCATAATGATCTTTTACAAACATTCCTTCCTTTTCTAGTGCGTCTTTGTCTTGTTGTCCCTTGTATATATTCCTCACTCTGCTAACATGTAGTAAACCCAGACGGATTAAGAAAACTAAGGTTCAAAAATGTTAAAGATCAACTGGGCACGGTGGTGCATACCTATACTCCCAGCTACTCAGAAGGCTAAAGCAGGAGGTTCACTTGAGCCCAAGAGTTCAAGACCAGTCTGGCCAATACAATGAGACCCCATCTCAAAAAAAAAAAAAAAAAAAAAAAAAAGCCAAAGATTATTTTTCACGACGGGGATTTCGGCGAGAAACATCGACACCCTCAGCGTTGACCAGATGGGCAGTCCTGCACTGACAAACCCACTGAGTTAATGTAGAATATGTCAGCTAGCTCAATGCTAAGAGACCAGTAATATCTGTGGCCCAGTCTCTTCCAGAGAAGAAATCAAGCCACTCCTCTCTCTGGCAAGTATGTCTCCTCTCATAAAACAGGCTGACTTCAGAAGTAGCTTTCAAAGACAATGCTTAGATCAAGCCAATCAGCGTAAGTACTCTTCCTGGTTGGGTGATAGCTCTCACTGTGACTTCATATAAGAAAAGCCAGTGGTCTTGTCTTGCTCTTCAAGAATGGAGCAGTCACGGCTGGGCACTGTGGCTCACCCCTGTAATCTCAGCAGTATGGGAGGCTGAGGCGGAAGGATGGCTTGAGCCTAGGAATTCAAGACCACCCTGGGCAACATAGTGAGACCCCATCTCTAGAAAAAACAAAAAAATTATACAGGCATCATGGCACCCACCTGTAGTCCCAGCTACTTGGGAGGCTGAGGTGGGAGGATAGCTTGAGCCTAGGAGTTCAAGGTTAAAGTGAGCTATGATTGCACCACTGCACTCCAGCCTGGTCAACAGAGCAATACCCTGACTTTATTTAAAAAAAAAAAAAATAGAATGGAGCAATCTTAACCCTAAAATAACAACCTTTTGCCAGTACCACCATATGATACCATATGTGAAAGATTTATTCAGGTACCTGAGCTTCACAAGTAACAAGGCTGGCATCTATTCTCTTCTCCAAAAGGCATTGTTTCCTCCTTTACAACTAAATAAACAGTGCAAATTATGTCCTCAACTTTAAGTCAGGTTTGAAAAGAAAAAATAAAAACAAACGAATGCAAAGCAAGAGACTATATAAGGATGAAGGGACAGCACAGGAGAATGGAGGAGAGAATGGGCATAGGAGAAAGGTGAGGGGAAGGGGGAGAGGGGTGAGGAACAGTGAACTTGGTAAGTCTGCTATTTCCAAAACCATGTTTACTGCAGTAAGATAATGAATGAGGAAAACATTTTCATTTTCTTTTCTGACAGCTTGAGCATAAATGATAGCTGCAATAATATCAGAAATTATTGGGCATTTTGAGGAGTCTTGCTAGTGAGAAGCCAGCATTCCAGCCAATTTGAAGCTCTGGCCCCAAGGTGACCTAGAAATTTTGTTTTTCAAATGCAGGAATGTCAGCTGCTGGACTGAAAGTGATGTATACTGTCTAGTGGACAGCATGCTGGCCAGACACCAAATTTGGAGTGTCTCTCCCTGTACTCAGTTGTTCTTTACGGCCAGTGCTGCCCCCACAAAGGAGAGTTTTGTCTAAAGCCGACCAAAAACGGGGGTAGTGTTTAAGATCCATCAACACCAAATAACACTGAGTTTTGACTTGTCACCTCTACAGATTCTTCAAGAAGCTGATCTGAATCCAACACCTCTTGGAGTTAGTTGGGTCTCTTCTTCCTAAGGCAGTTGATTACTACTAGTTCTAATCTAGTTAGGGGCCTGACTGAAGGAGGCCTAAAAAGTGCCAGGAATAAAAGCAGTCAAGCCTCATAATTTTATGTGTTTTTAAACAAGACACCCTCAAGTACATAAAACACCACAGCCATTGTAATTTAATCATCTGCTTATGAAAAAGACAGCACTCTAAACAGAAGAACTGATAAGGCAAATAATTTGCCTATAAGGATTTTTAAAATGTGTCTCTGACATCAAATGAACTCTACTGAGATTCCCTGTATTATGCCAAAAACCTACTGGCCAACATCCAAGACTGACTTGCAAGTACCAACCCTAATCCGGATCATGAAGCAACATTACCATCACCTGTACCCTTCAATAGGGTGATATCCACTCTACCTTAACAATCAGAGTTTTATCCGCTGTACATTTTTTCCATAAGATTCCTATGGACTTCTCCATGGAAAACAGATCCCTGGAATCTTTCTGTGATTTGGAGGAACTCCTGTAATTTGTATGAGGATAGTGATAACGAGAGAAACATCAAACACACACAAGAAATTTACACATCCCAGCTTTTCTGTGTATTCCACTTTGGAAACCAATAGCCTATGAAGATAAAATGGAAACAGCACATACATATCTTGAGTGTGTGTAAATCATCAGAGTCATATGCAATAAGTAAACAGGAGGTGTCATGAGGAGGGAAAACACCACGAATATTCCCAGTTCAGAACACACTTTCAAGAACGATGCTTCAATAGTGAAGTAGAAGGGGAAATGGGCATGAGTCAATAGAACAGCAATTTCTCTATCCTTTCTCTCCACTGTTACTAAGCAATGTCCTATTGGAACTGAACTTTTTTTCTAAGTCTTCGATTGACTTCCTAATTAATAAGCATTGTAATCTAGTGTTTATTCCTTTATGAAGGCAGAGCAGTTGAAATATCCTAACACACATATTCAACCAACACCCCTCTCCAATTATTGTGTTGTTCTTCACATTGAAATTTGGCCTCTACTGAGAAGATATTGAATGGAAAGCCCATATAAGATAGAAAAAATAGAAGCATAATGGACACACGAAATATGTGATGTCACGATCTATGTCTACACACAGATAAAGACCATTTGACCTGATAACTAGCAAATGATAAGCAAGGACGCTGTGTCTCTTTATACATTATCTGATATTATTTATATATTGTTATTTCTATCACAAAGAAAAACAAAAAACATATGCTCAGAGAATACAAGAATAGACAGACAATCCATAGGTAAGCATTAAGAGTAAAATGTACTGAAAGGAGTTACTTTTTCCAATAATGCCTTATCAAGAAAATCTTTCTTTGACAAGTAAGTTATATGTGGTCACTAATAATAAGCAAAAAGCTAATAAAAGAAGGGAAAAATGAGTAGCACAAGCAGTTCCCAGCTTAATCAACAAAATAATCATGCTTTAAAAAATGAGGTAGTACATTCTCTTCCTGAAATCATTACAGTCTGTTAACTTAAAAGTAAAATTAATGGCGATTCGATGCTATACAACACTGTGTAGAGTAAACCCAAAATTACCAATATGAGGCTCAGGTACACTAAACAGTCAAATAACTATTTCTGAAAGCCCTGTCTTCTTATTTTTTCTTTTTTTGTTCTCATAATAACTGACTGAATGACACACACTAGTTGCTGCATATTTAGTTTATTTCTAATGAAGATAACTATTAGGTGTCCAATCTACTCAGTCCTTAATCTTTTAAAGGGAAACAGAGAGGGAATACAATTGTTTAGCCTAACGGAAATAGCTTACTACTATAATTTTCCAACCAAAAGTCTAACTCTTCACATTGTATACACCCATAAGATAGAATTCAAAATTCTCACAGCTTGCATATTACAATACTCAGAGTCTTACCAAACACAAAATATTATGACTTATTTGAAACCACCGAACTCCCCCCAAAATATTTCTTCTCAAAACCAACTCTAAATAGAATAGACAGGTATCCAGTTATTTCAATTAACTTAAAAATACAATACTAATAATTTAAACTCAAGTAGATTATTTTCCTGATTTATGCAGTTGGAATGCTTTAAGACTAACATAGAAAGCTAAGTTCTGATTTATCTTTCCCATCATACTGTTTTATCTCAGACACATATAAATGCATTCATAGGTACACAGTATAGTACTGTTCGCCCAGGCTAGAGAATAAAACAGCTAGCATTGTACCAGGACGCCTGTGCATCTTTCCATTAAAGCCATAGCAATATTCCCTCAAACACATATTCATCACTACCTTTTAATGATTCTGGGCTACACGGATGAAAAGTTTTGATTTAGTGCAGGTTAAAGTAGCACATAGTCTTTCATCTTTATTCATAATCAGCTCTGATCCCCTTGCTGAAAAAGAAAGAAATGCAAACATCTTGAACTCTTCAATGGGCTTTTCTCTAATTAAAGCCTTTAACAATTTTGGGGTGTTTCAAAGCATGACTTCCTTTTTACCATTGTTAGTGTTAACTAAAGAAATATTGCCCAATAAGCACTCCAGATAATATACTCAAAAAATCATCTATAAAATGCAATAAAAATGATTGGGGCAGAAGAACACTGCATCCTTAATTTTAGTAAGATTGTTGATGATAACCAGAGTGAAGCTGCCTAAGCAATCACTCAAAAGCACATGTAATAGTTAAACGCATCTTTATTATGGTTGCTCAGTGTCTAAAAGTTTGTTGCCAGTAGCATTGCTATTAAATGTATAAGGCTGTCAAATCTATTTGTGGCCAAAAAAAAGCAACTCTGCAAGATAAATATTATTTAATGATTTAATAGGCATACGGCACTAGAATATAAATACCCATAAATACCCCAAGTCATAAAAGTAACAGAAAGTAAAAAATAATTTAGGCTAAGACAAAAAAAGACTAGAATTGTTTAGTCAAGAACGAAATTAGTAAACCACATACATTTACACAGACACAGTCTCTCTTGCCACAAAATTGCAAAGTGGTCTACTTTTATTTCTAAAATGTGATATGCTTATATCATTATTATAACCTAAATGTTTAAAGGGGGTATAAGAAAAAGCTTCTAAAATTATTACGGATGCTACTAAATCATGTGTATAACAACCAAAATATCTGGAATGCCCAAACGTGCTGTCATTGCTCAGGACAGAATAATCTATTCAAAACCAGCAGGGAACACGTGAGGAGGCCTCATTTACTTCAGTGTGTTTCCCCACATATGCATCATTTGAGAATGTCAGATCACTTTCACGTATATAGTACATAATCACTGATGATCTGGGAAATCCACAAGGCCACAAAGTTGATACATACTCTGATCTAGAGGGGGAAAAAAATCGAGAAAGCCGGAAGTTTCCCGTTTTCCAAGAAACTGAAGACATTCTTACCTTTCTGTACACCAGCATGTTGGGTGATTCATCGGCCACCCCGTTGCTGGTCTGCCCATAATTATTCCCCTGGGCCATGTCACCCAAAACTTGGTCCACTCTCAAGATACAAGAATTATCAGTGTGCCCTGCAAAGGGTCAGAGAGACTTCAGTGAGATCCCAGTGGGACTCCCCTGATTCATCATCATCATTCACAGCACCCACCCCACATGGCGCGTTCTTACAAACTGGGGCTGGCTGGAGAAAGTGACACAGGACATGGATTTTTTAAAAAGTGAGTTGACACCTACAATAACCTCAAGGAATTGTAAGAAATTACAATCTTCCAGGTAGAAATAGCCATTTGGTTATTGTTTTAGCTGACTTCATTTTCTGGATACTCATTTTGAGAAGTGTTTGATGCTCACCCTAAAAACTCGTGGGTAGCATTTTCCTAGTACAGAGTTCTCTTCTCTCCCAATACTTGCATCTGAACTTGGTGATGTTTTCCCCAAAGGGTGGAAAGGCAACACCTGGGGGATGCGGTGGGGGAGTGGGGGGCGGGTTAGCACACTTTCTCCTAGGTATCTGTCTAGTGTCCCCACCTGCAGCCCATCAGAGAGGCCCATTCCCGGTGTCATTCTCCAGCGCACGGGCTTCCTCTCTATTCCCCCGGGTCTCCCACACAGAGCCGGAGTATATGCTTCGCCTACTTTCACCTGCCTGCGCTGCCAGCCACCGGCTGCTCTCCTTTCTCCCCACTTCGCTTCGGAAGTCCGGAGGTAATCCTGCCTAATTTTTGCAAGAAGACACCAGAATATGTCCCGGCAACAAGAACTAGTGGGAGGTCAAGCCTTCAGGCCATTTTACCCGGGTCACCGTGGGTAAAAGCCTAACTGCAGAAGCCTCCAGAGCAACCAGCCAAAGAGGAGAAAACAGGCAAGCCCCTGCTCCCCTTGCTCGCTCTCACGGCAGCAGCAAATGGCAGGCGAGCCTGTGCCCCGCGCCGCGGCGGCCGCCGGAGCCGGGCAGCAGTTTCAGCACCGTGGACCGCGGGGTGCGCGCGGCGCCCGTAGCCCAGCCCCGGCGCGGGGCTCCCGGGGGCGGCCGCCCTGCGCCCGCGGACGCTCCCGCTGCGCAGAGCGAGGGCTGGGTGCGGGCCGGGGGCCGGGAGGGCTCTGGGTGGCGCTGCCTCCTCCCCGCCCGCCTTCCCTATTTACCTCCTCCGCCAAGGTCACGGCCCCGCGGCGTCTCCCCTCCCGGGCGGGCTGGGTGCAGGCGGTGTCAGCTGGCGGCAAGCGGAGCAGCGAGGCAGGGTAGCTTCATCACACTCGCGGCGGATGCGGATTCCGCGCCGCCCCGGCTCTAGCTGCTCAGGCGACCGCCACCCTCGCCTCGCCGCCGCCCGTGCACAGGCGGCTCCGGCAGCCGCCACTCGCGCCCGCTCCCCTGGGCCGCCTCGCTGGCTCTCTCCCTCCTCCGCTTCTTCTCCCGGGGACTGGGACCAGCCGAGCGCGCGCGGGAGTCGAGACGCCCGGCCCGTGCGCGCGACTGGGAGGAGGGAGGAGGGGACAGTCACGTGGGACAGGGGCGTCCGAAGGTGCCGGCTCGGATGGGCTCGGCTCGGCCGCCGCCACACCGCCCGGGCCTCCCGGGCCTCCCCGGCCTCCCGCCCTCGCGCCCCTCGGGAGGCTGTAGTCCTGCCCCCGGCGCGGCCAGCCCGCGCTCCCGCACACCCCGCCCGCTCGCCCGCGCGTGTGTACGTGCGCCGGAGGCCTGGAGAGACCGGAGTTTAACGCCCAGTGTAAGCCGGAAAGGGAGGAAGGCTGTGCGATGGGTGGGTGGGTGGTAGGTGGGTGGGTGGTCTAGTGAATGGATGGACAGATGGACGGACGGATGCACGGATGAATGGATGGATGGAGCCCCGTGCAAACCAAGGTTTCATCACGTGCCTAACGACTCCGCTGAAAGTCCCAGGGAAGCAGATGATTTATTATTATTATTATTATTATTATTATTATTATTATTATTATTATTATTATGCTTAAATAACAGAGTAGAGAGATATTGAGACACCCTAGGAATGAAGGAAATGGCCAGGACCAAATGAATCATTCATCCCCGTTTGCCTGCGGTTTTCACAGCTTCTTCCTAAGTTGGAGAAATGGGAAACGATTTGAAAGCTGCCAACCGGAGGTGAAAATCTTGCCACTTGTGAAACTGAAGGAACATCCCCAAGGCCTGGCTTCTCCTTTTAACAGAAGGTGCTCAGAGGAACTTTCCTCTTGCCCACTGCCCTCATCCTCTAGCAATTTTCAAAGAGCTTCTGAGGTGCTGATCCTCCTAGCTATAGTCTTCGTACTGCTGCCACAAATTCTTCTGTAAGGATTAGAATGACATAAAGGAGACAGATCACTTTTGTCTCGGTGGTAGTAAAGCAACCTGTGCCTCTGGCTTTCAGGGGGAAGGGCTGGGCCGCTGTAAATCTAGTTTTCCTTCCTCTCCTGGGCCAGCTGTGGAGGAGAGGGAGGGAGAGAAGGAGAAGATAATCAAGATCAGCTGTAAATCTAGTTTTCCTTCCTCTACTGGGCCAGGTGTGGAGGAGAGGGAGGGACAGAAGGAGAAGATAATCAAGGTCAGCCTTTCCTGACCCCTTGGTCTAAGCAGACTAGACCTTATTGGAGATAACACTTCTACTCAAACAGGGGTCCATGTGGACCAATGTATTACCCCAGCCCCATGCAGGTCTTGTCAGGTTTCTCTCAAGGAACAAATATTTATCTAACCTAGCCCCTGTTCCAAGTACTACAGGAGAAATATCATTGTCCCAAACTACACACACTCTAGTCTGACCTGTCTCCCACTCCAACTCCCCACATCTTTCCACTGTAGCCTCTGGAACTTAGAATCTTCTTCAGCAAAATTCTCTTCGTTTTCGACTTCTCGAAATATTTCTTTAACGTTTTTGCTCTCGCTGAAATCTACTTATCCCTCCTTTAACCCCTCTCTCTTCCCTCTTGTTCAGTCTGCTCCTGAGAAGTTGATGTGACTTGCATGACTTGGATTAATAAATTTGCAAATACAACTGGGTATGCTCACTCAGTTTGACCATTTTCCTCTTAAGAGAGAACCGCCTGAAGGAAGCAGTCTTCCTCCTCCTTTGCATCTCTGGGTAAAGTTTCCATCCTCATAGGAAGCTGTACCCAAGCTCTATATATAGAGAGCCTATATATATATATAGCTCTATTTATCATATATATAATTGGCTCTATTTAATTTATATATATAAATTATACACACACATAAACATACATATATATAATATCTCTTGACACCCTTTCCACTTATTGCCACCCTATTTTCCTTCTTCCCTTTATGCCAAAATCTTTCCATTCCATGTTGAACCTGTTCCACTTTGGCAAATGACCTCCATGGTGCTAAGCTGATGGTCAATTCTCAATTGTCATATGAATTGACTTTTCAGCATAAATTAACCCGGACACCACTCTCTATTATTTCTCTTTCTGCATTACTGGCTGCTTTTTCTCACTCTCATTGCTTGTTCCTCTTTGTCTTTTTGACCCCCAAATTCTGAAGCATCTTGGATCTTAGTCATTAAGCCTCTTCTCCTCTCAATTTACATGCACTGTACCTAAAGTGACCCAATTCAGGCTCATACATTTTAGTATTTCATTATTAAACACTAATAACTTCCAAGTGTATATTTTTAACCAGGATCTATCCCCTGAAATCCAGTCTGTCAAATGCTCACTTTACATCTCCACTTGAATATCTAATTATGCCTGATTCAGCTTGAAGATAGCAAGGATATTGTCACTGCCTCAGATCCTAGGCATAGTATAGTTGCTGGTGCATAGTAGATGCACAATAAACATACATTAATGAAATGAATGGATGTATCTAGTAACAGTAATCTGATAGGTTCTTTTGTATTTTGCAATTGTATTTTTTTTTGAGATGAAGTCTTGCTCTGTCACCCAGGCTGGAGGGCAGTGGTGCAGTCTCTGCTCACTGCAACCTCTGCCTCCCAGGTTCAAGTGATTCTCCTGCCTCAGCCTCCTGAATAGCTGGGATTACAGGCACGTGCCACCATGCCTGGCCAATTTTTGTATTTTTAGTAGAGATGTTGGCCAGGCTGGTCTCGAACTCGTGATCCCAGGTCATTCGCCCACCTTGGCCTCCCAAAATGCTGGGATTACAGGCATGAGCCACTGCATCCAGCTATGTATTTTGTAATGGATTTTTTTGCATTATCTTATTTAATTCTTACTAATGACCCTATAGTTATAATAGTTATCTCATTTACATCAATACAACAATGAGGAAGGAGAGGATCAGAAAGGTTGGGTCAACTTCCCAATACAACCAACATAGCCAAGAAGTGGCAGTGGTGGTTTGTACTCTATCGACTGCATTAGCTGGAACAATGTTTCTCAGGATCCTCTTGCCCGTATGCATGTAAGTGTATGCATGTAAGTACGGTTGGCCCAAAGACGAATTCTTGCAAGATTTGGGAAACAGAGTGAAACAGTATCTATTCCTCTCTCAAGGTCTTTGTAGTTTGCTGTGACAACACATGCAGACACCTGGAGGGTTCTAGCATGTCCTGGCCCTCCCCCACTTCACACCCAGATCTTCCAAATTTCCAGCACAGCTGATCAACAGTAGCCACACACCCATCACAAGGGCCTTAACATGGATCCAAAGAGGCAGTAGCCAGGCAAAGACAAAAGCTTTTCACCGAGTATTCTTCCAGCTTTCTTTCAGGGTCCCCCTCCTGGATGTGGCAGGCCTCCCAGATTCCCCTGGAAGTTCTGACTTGCCCATACACACAAGGACCTCAGGAAACCCAATAGTGACTTTCCTCAGATCTGTGAATTCCTTCTTCTGGAAAATAACCTTCTCAACAATTGTGTAAGTTCTCATAATACATCCCTGATTCCATTATATTCATAATGGTTCCACTTTCATGAAAGAGTGGCTGGCAGAGCTCAAATCCAAGACTTCTGGGTTCTTTTCACTATTCTACAAGAAATCCAACTTAGGTAGATAAGATCTTGAGACAAATAGCTGCATGTAAGTGAAAAACTGAATGACAGTGTATGAACTACTGAAGGAGAGATTGACATTCAAACCGGGCTCTTCAAGGACTAGCAGGATATCTACTATATGAAGGGTGAAGGAGTTTCTATTCAGACACAAAGGGAAGAAATGCTGAAACCCATTAGGAAAATTACTAGTAATAAAAACATCATGTATTGAATTCCTGCTGTCTCTAACCATATTAAAAATAGTCTTACCATAGCTGACAAAACTTCCCTATAAGGTATGTAAGACACCAATGTCCTAGTTAGGAAACTTGGCCATGATCGCACACCTTCTAAATATCAGAGTCTTGACTCAAATATGCCTGTGTCTGACTGTAAAGCCCTGTGAAAAATTATGCACAAATGCCTCCTAGCAACAGTATGAGTTTAAAAAAGCTAGAGTTCTCCCATCAAGGTGCCTCTCATTCTATTTTCTCCCTCATCTGCCATCCTTCCACACACCTACCTCTCACCGTGCTCTCTGGGCAGTTATGACTCAAGATTGTTCGTGTCTAATTACTGTTGCCAAGCAAACATGAAGAAGGAAGGTTCAAGAAATAGCATATTTCACAATTTTTCTACTGTTATTTGTTAGTCCTCATTAGACTACTCAGAATTTGTGTTACTGTATATTGGAAACAAAATTATGTCTATCACCTTAACGTTTCTACGACTTGTATTTTTCAAATATAAACTTAGTGAATTAGACTAGGTCGTCTCCAAAAACCCATCATAAGATTCAACATGTTCTCTTTTGTGCTTTCTTTCTAGATAATGGAGTCCTTTATGTTGTAAACAAGAATAAAAAAGAAAGTATAGATATTGTGGAGTAGTTTTTTTGTGGGGGGGGGGTCCTTTCTTTAAAAACCGTGTGAATATGTGGTTCTCAATCATTATATCCAAAACATTTTACTATTTTTCTTGTAAGCCTTGTATTTTATTAATATTTTTGTCAAACAAATTAAATGGTAATAATACATCCATTTTACATGCCAGGCAGAACTTCTAAATAGCAGATAAAAGACCTGTTACCTCATCAAGGTAATGAATTCCAGCCCAAACAAAGACATTTCAAGATTTTTTTTAGCTTCAGTAGCGTTACCTTGGGAAAAATAGTCAGTTTTTAAGATTTTGTGGAAATACAGGAAATAGTGTCTATTTTTGCAAATCATTATGGATATAGGAACCCCAAATCTATTGATATAGACCTGCTTTTTCCCTCCTTTTTTCATTTAACAAAAACTTAGTCATGGATTTATTGTGCATGAAGCCTTCTTAGGTTTCTACAAAGATCATAAAGAAATATAACAGGTGATTTTTGTCCTCAAGGAGCAACCAGTCTCATTCAGAAGATGAGAGTCCTTCCTTTCTCTCACAGCTCACATGGAGTTCCATCAGTGAGTCCCACCGGGTCTACCTAGAAGCTGTATCCAGAATCTGGTCACTGCACAACATCTCCTCTGCTTCCTCCCTGCTTTGAGGCACCATTGAATCTCTCTTGGTTGAAGGCAGTAACCTTCTAACTGGTCTCCGCTTGCATCCCTTCCCACCTATGTCTGTTCTCAACATAGCTGCCAGCGTGATCACGGCCCTTCTCTACTTAAAATCCTCCAAAACACTCCATGTTGCATAAAGGGCAAGATGTCTTTAAAATGCGAAAGAGGCACTTCTGGAGCACTCTCTGCCACATCTGACCTCAATTTGTGCCCCTTTCCGTCTTATTTACTCTGTTCCAGCCACACTGCCCTCCTGGATTCTGTAAACATTCCAAGCATGCTGCCACCTCCAGGCATTTGCACTGGCTGATCCCTCTGCTTTGAATGCTCTTGCTTTACTCCAATGGCATCCTCTCAGTGAGGGCTACTCTATCCACTTTATAGAAAACCATGTACCTTCCCTGTACTCTGCTTCCTCCTTACACTGATTTACTTGCCTTTCAGAGCATGTGTCTCCTTCTAACATACTGTACAATTTATCTATGTTTGATGTCTGTCTCCTAGAAAAATTTGAGTTCCATAAGGTCATAGATTTTTCTTCTTCTGTTCACACTGCTATATCCTCAACGTCTAGAACAAACTCTGATATATAGTATATATCAGAATATATATAAATTCTGATATATAGGTATCCAGTAATTATGTGCTGAGTTACTGGGTGATTGAGTCCATTAGCATGATTCTGTTTGAAAACTGGGTATACTGGAAGAACCCAGTCAACAACCTCGAACTGAACTGAATTAGCGTCAGGTTTCCCTGTGGATGGAAATGATCTGCTCTTCCAAGCTGTTTCCTATGTGTCATAATGAGAAAGACTAATTCCTCTTCCTAACACACACCCACTTCACAGAGGAATGCTTTGAGACGTAATTAAATGGTAACGTGGAGAAAGCATTTTGATTTTCTAAGAGAAGCACTTTATTAATTTGAGGTTTTATTGTGCGAAAGAATTATAAGTGACACAGGGGCAAGTACAGAGATGAGAACAATGTTAAAGGGATTATAGTGTTCACAATACTACATTGGAATTGTATGAGATAATTGAGTTAAGATTGATATAAGCAGCATGGAATAAAGCAAAATAGTTTGGGAAATCTTACCCCAAATGACAAGTTTTAAAGAAATAGCTTCTTTTTTGTAATCAACTCTCAATTATTTACAGCACAATATCCTCATTAATGAATTATTCTTCGCTTTTACTATCCTTTTGTCCAGTTCGTGGCCATTTTTCTTCTAATTAGAAATTCCATACTAATGTCAGAGAGTTGATAAAGAAAAAAGAAGTAAAAATTAAGATTTGTCTTCTTCATGAGTTTATTCCTCGCTCATTCCAGTTGACATGTTTAAATTCTGATCTGGAGTATTTCCAAAATTACCCAATTTTAAAATGTCATATTCTTTTTAATTAACTGGCAAATTAATTGAGCACATTTTCTTTCTTTCTTTCTTTCTTTCTTTCTTTCTTTCTTTCTTTCTTTCTTTCTTTCTTTCTTTCTTTCTTATTTTTTTTTTTTGAGACAGAGTTTCACTCTTGTTGCCCAGGCTGGAGTGCAATGGCATGATCTTGGCTCAACGCAACCTCTGCCTCCCAGGTTCAAGCAATTCTCCTGCTTCAGCCTCCTGAGTAGCTGGGATTACAGGCATGCGCCACCACGCTGGCTACTTCCGTATTTTTAGTAGAGATGGGGGTTTCTCCATGTTGGTCAGGCTGGCCTCGAACTCCCAACCTCAGGTGATCCGCCCACCTTGGCCTCCCAAAGTGCTGGGATTACAGGTGTGAGCCACCGTGCCCGGCCTAATTGAGCACATATTATGAATGAGTTGTGGTATAATGTTTGTGAAGGAATACCGAAAATGTTGAAACTTTGTTCCTGCCCTTTTGACATGATGGAACACCACTAGAGAAGGTGTCAAAATGTCTGAGCTTTAACCTGTCTCCACTGCTTAAAATCGAGGTAGCATTGGGCGAGTAATTTGACCACTTGAAGCCTGTTTCCTTAGCCATAAAACAAAATTTGTATTATCTGCCTTGTCTTGCTCTGCTGTGAAAATCTTTTTATTCCAAGGCAAATTAAATATTTGGAAAGACGGTCTGGCAGTAGTCATGTTGCCCATATCGAGAGATGCAGTGGCCTAGAAATTAACCACCAATTCTGTGGAGCAGATATTGGGAGCAGCTGTAGCTACAATGATGGAAAACAGTCCATCCAGCAAGTCGTGTTTGGTGTCCAGAGTGTAGAAACAGGCCAGATGACTGGATCCGAATGACACCATGAGAGATGAGAGAAGCAGTGTCCCCATAGGAGGGCAAGGCATAGCAGAACAGGCCATACCTGGGGCTCTTACCAGGCAGCTTATGGGAGCAGAGCTCCAGCAGCTGGACGACAGGAGTCATTTCCCCTGACGTGAAAAACCGCAGAGGAACTAATCTCCTATTTGGTTTCCAAATTCCTAGCCAAGGAGGACAGTCTAAATTGAAGATGATAGAAGACATAATTAGAATAATAAAATATAAAAATGAAGGGGATTACCCTCAAATTACAATGAAGAAATTGGGCTTTAGTGAAGTGAATTTACTTCCTCCAGGTTACACACTGAGACAGAATTAGAGCCAGGACCTAAAACCCTAGTCTTTATATTGAGATATGGTGCTCTTCACATTATGTGAGAAGAGGCAACTCTCTCAGAGGCAACTGAGACCCCAAATAAGGGAAGAAATTGTAAAAGGGTGCTCGATGGTGTTCATCACCAGAATCAGAGCAGTCCCAGCCATTGGCACTGAGAGAATTTGGAAATGAAATCCTAAGCAATTTTTAAAGCATGGTGGAGAAAAAAGATAGCAAAATAGAGTCAATTTGCCTGAAATGAGGGAGAACATGAATGCACAAACTGGATTGGTGCCCAGAACCTATCCATGGGAAAATTCTATAATAAAATTCAACAAATGTTTACTGAGCTCCCGCACCACACCAAGCATCATGGTAGTCTTTGATGATGAATGAATGGACCTTTCCCATGGCAGAGGCAGGTAGGAGAGACAGATCTATAAATCACTGTAGTGCAATGTGTTAAGTTCAGGTGCATACAAAGTGTTAGGAAAGCACATTTTCCATGAAAAGGGGACATTTTGGCAGGGTCTTTAAAAATTGATCAGGGATCTTCCAGATGGACTACAAGGAGGAAGAGCACAGCAGCATTTCAGGTAGGTGGAATAACATGTGCCAAATCACAGAAGCATGAATAAAGGCAAAGGCTTGATGGACTGCAAAATTTTGGCATGGCTGATTTCAAAGAGAAGAAGTGACATATGGGGATTGGAGGATGGAAATGAAGGTGGTCTATAGCTTGTGGACAGATTATGCAGAACCTACAGCCTATGCTGGGAAGTTTGAGCCTCTTTTTTTTTTTTTTTTTTTGAGGCTGACTCTCATTCTGTCACCCAAGCTGGAGTGCAGTGGCGCAATCCTGGCTCACTGCAACCTCCACCTCGCAGGTTCTAGCAATTCTCCTGCCTCAGCCTCCCTAGTAGCTGGGATTACAGGCACATGCTGCCATGCCCAGCTAATTTTTTGTATTTTAGTAGAGACAGAGTTTTGCCGTGTTGCCCTGGCTGGTCTCAAACTCCTGAGCTCAGGCGATCCACCTGCTTTGGCCTCCCAAAGTGATAGGATTACAGGCATGAGCCACTGTGCCCAGCCAGGAAGTATGAGCTTTAACCAATCAGTAATTGGATGAGTTTTAAACCCTTAAACAGAAAAGTGGTGAACAATGAGCCACTCTGAATGTTCACCAGTCACACCTCATCTCAGACTAGCCTCGTTTCCTCTTTAAATATGGTCTCTAAACTGTCAAATGAGGGTTATATTAAGGCAATACATATTATTCAGCAAGGCACTTGACAGGACATTTTGCTTTAGCTTTGAAAATATACTGGTAAAACAGGGTTGAGTAACAGTTCATTGGACTCATAACAGGCTGAGTGAGACTGGCAAAAAGAGCACTGATGAACTGAGCAGGACACACTAGAAAGGCAGGTCCATGAGGAGGACTCGAAGCACTGCCCTCAGAATGCCCCTGTCCTATCTGGGCCTGGGCACAGTGAACTCACGTGGTCAATCAGATGTATAAGTGGCACAAAGCTATGAGGAAGAGCTAATGGCATGGGGACCCAGGAAGATCTGCGCAGGCTGAAAAGATGAGCTGAAACAAGTAAGATGAAATTTAGCAAGAATAAATATTAAGACTTATACTTCGGTGGGTGCAATGGTCTGAATGTTGTATCCTTACAGAAAGTATATGTTGAAATCTTAATTCCCAAAGTGATGGTATTAGGAGATGGGGCCTTTGGGAGGTAAGTAGGTCATGAGGGTGGTAACTTCATGAATGAGATTAGTGCTCTTATAAAACAGACCCCAGAGAGCTCCCTTGCAACCTTTCTACCACATGACAACATAGCAAAAAGATGGTCATCTATGAACCAGGCATTGGGCCCTCACCAGTCACTGGATATGCTATCAGCCTGATCTTGGACTTCCCAGCCCCGAGAATTGTGATAAATAAATATTTGTTGTCTATAAACCACCCACTCTATGGTATTTTGTTATAGCAGCTGGAACTAAGACAAACAGAGAGGGCTGGGTTAGCACTAAACAGCATGGAGAAAATATAACTGAACATCAGTTTGAATGACAAAAGATACTGGGTTTTTGTTTGTGGTTGAGAGCAAACTCTATATTGTTCAAAAAGAGCACACATCTACCAAAAAAAGATAATATAAGCACAAATTGCATTTCTAGAAATATAGTGATGGAGAAGTACCGACGAAATGAATGGAGGTGTTAGAAAATGGGCCCATCAATGCTTTGTGCAGACATGTCTAGAACATCCTGGATGGCACATGCCAAGGTTATAAATCCTTCATGTATGCTCTGACCCCACCTCGGTGATGTAAGATCCAGGAGCATAGAGATTTTGTCCTGTTTCCACTACTTATTGCACCTTTCTTGTACACTCAGTGCCTAGATCAGTGCCAGGCACACAGCAGGAGCAAAGTAGGTATTCACTGAAAGAGTGTCTTGATGAAGCTGAAGGAAAGCAATAAGGATGGCAAAGGTGCTCAAAGTCACTCTGATGACTGGAAGAAATAAAAGACATTTTGTCCCTGAAAGAGAAGACTTGGGTGATTTGCAATCATTTTCTTAAAACATTAAAAGACTCTTCTGTGGGAAAAGAATCAAACATAACAGCCAAGCCCCACAGGACAAATTTAAATTTAATAGATAAAAGTTTAAGGCAGACAGATTTCAGTTCAACAGAAGGAAGTACTTTCTAACAATTAGGGCAGTTCAAAGTGGCCTTAGTTGAAGAGTGAACTGCACATCGGTGAAGGTGTCTGAGGGAAGTTGAATGGCCCCAGTTTGAAAAGTTGCATAGGGGATGTTCTTACACTAATGATGCTTGTCTAGGTGCCCACAAAAGTTACTTCCAATTCTTATATTCTTTGACTACAAAATGAGATGACATACGAGGAAATCATTTGAAAACTGAATGCTACCAGCCGGGCGCGGTGGCTCATACCTGTAATCCCAGCACTTTGGGAGGCCAAGGCAGGTGGATCACGAGGTCAGGAGTTCAAGACCAGCCTGGCCAACATGGTGAAACCCCGCCTCTACTAAAAATACAAAAATTAGCTGGGCATGGTGGCGTGTGCCTGTAATCCCAGCTACTCATGAGGCTGAGGCAGGAGAATTGCTTGAACCAGGACCCAGGAGGCAGAGGTAGCAGTGAACGAGATCGCACCACTGCACTCCAGCCTGGGCTGCAGAGAGAGACTCTGTCTCAAACAAAAAAGAAAAAGAAAACTGAATGCTACCATTTTCCCAAGAGGACTTAGAATATGATTTTAATGTAAATTGGGACAAGATTGGCGTGAAGTAGGAAAAATGACAGATAACTGATACCAAGAATAAATTCCCTCATTGAGTTCATTTTGAGTTATGGTAGTATCAGGGAAGACCTCTGTTGCAGAGGGGACTTATTGAGCTTGGAACATTGGAGAGACAGAAGGGGCTATGGTGGTCATTGCTGAAGTGTGACTATGAGAAAAGCTGCTTTAGCCTTCACTGCACACCAAGAAACATTTAGTATGTGTTATCATGGATTACCTATCACGAGGTAGGTCTTTGTCACATGGTGTCTTAAATGTATCTGCTGGTCAGCACCTTGAAGTTCCTCAGAAGATGCAAAGTCTGTCTTGTTTAGGGTAAGAGGGTGTCTGTTCATGCCAAGACAAGAACTCATTTATAGTTATTTTATTCTCCATGTATTTGATTCTCCATCATTTCTACTTATAAATATTTCTGAGCTCTTCCAGTTAATCAAGAATTAGCACTACCGAATTTCTACAAACCTAACACTTGCTTTTAAAAAGAAACAAATAGCAAAAAGAAAAAAAGAGGAAGGAATGAAAATGTTTATTTAAATTACTTAATTTGTAGAATTCTGAAATTTATAGAAAAACATTTAGGAACTCGTTCTTGAATTAGTTAATTATGTCCATCAACTTTGCATTTTATAAGAAGTCACCACCAACACGTAACTCTGTAATTGAAAGGCTACACACAATCTGTGGTAAAGAGCTTAGGAACTTGAGTTTCTATCTGCACTGTGTAAGTTTTCTCTTATTGTACTTTATCCAACCATTCTGCAGCTTTCAATCTTCTTGACACAGGTGGTGTTTTCCAATATCCTTAAATATTAGACTTTCAGAAAATACTTTTTTTTCTTATCATGAGTAATTCCAGGGCTAATTTTTCAAGGTATAAAAATCAGTGTTATTTATCTTTGACCAATAGAACCAACCCATTAACAAGACATTTGGAAGACAAGATATCTTCTCAAGATTTTTTCAAGGTTCTTAGGCTAGCCTGGGATTCAACCCTGCAGCACACCAAAACCCTGGAGGTATATCTTTTGATCATTTTGAGCAGCTAAACACATACCACTGAACTCTCCCAAACACCCCAGCTCTTAAATCCAACATCTGTCTATTCCCTGATTGACAAAAAAGCTTTTGCTTTTGTTTTGGTTCAGCCAACCAGAATACTTTGTGTTGAGAAAGAGCTGAAAGCACCCGAAAGATCAGCAGAAGGAATATTGAGACTGATTAACAATCCCTGCCCTGGGCGAGGGATATGATATTCAAGGCCTTCAGATTTGTCCTGGCCTGAGGCTGCCTCTCCCTCATGGGACTTGTATGTGATGTGTACCAGATGCAGTCCTGTTGAATACCCAATTCCCCACCCCTTACAAGCATGATATGGACTCCCAAACATGGATGACACAATTCTACCTTGACCACAAGCAGAACATTTAGGCCAGGATATACTTAAGGGAAGAGGACCTGACATCTCCCCGTTGAGCCACTGCAGAGAGAGAGAGAGAGGCCAGGGAAGTTGTCTATAAGAGCTCCTGCTGATTCCAAAGCATGTGCCCCAGAAATAACAGTATTTTTTATGAATCAATCAAACCTTTACTTATTAAGCACCAACATTGTGCCTAACAAAATTAACAAGTTTCTGAATGCTCACAGCCCAAGTACGTGGAGAATCATCCAGACTCCAAATAGGAACACCAGAGAACAACTCAAGTCCTGTGGAGGATAAGCTCTATCTCTTGTTGGCTCACTTCTTTTCCTGCCCCAGGGACCTCTTCTCTGTCTCACCTCTCTCCTTTGGTGATCTCATCCACTTCCATGGCTTTCAATGCCATCAATAGACCTATGATATCCTGATTTCTCTCCTGAGCTCCAAACTCAAATTTCCTTTAATAGCCATTTCTATTTATTCAGTTCCGAAATAGAACTACTGGTTTATCTACCTACACTCCCAAAATTATTCCTTTTCTAGAATTCTCCACATAAGCAATTAGGACATTCTCTACCCAGTTACACAGGTGAAAGCCTAGGTTTCATTCCAGCAAACTGTAATCTCTCCCTTTTCCTTACTCTTTTATATAATCCATTAACAAATCTTGTCAATATATATTTAAATAAATATCACATCAAGACAATTCAATTCTCCTACCTCCTCCGTCACCTCTTAGCCCAAGCCACTGTCATCTCTTAACTTGACTGCTTAAGTAGTCTTCTAAATATTTCTGCTTTCATTGTTAAACACCTTAATGCATTCTTCAGGTAATGGACACAGTGATACAATGATATTTTGGTCAACGACAGACTGCATGTATGACAGTGGTCCCATTAGATTATAATACCATAGTTTTACTGTAACTTTTCTATGATTAGATACACAAAAACTTACTGTTGTGTTACAATTGCCTACAGTATTCAGGAGAGTAACATGCTGTACAGGTTTGTAGCCTAGGAGCAATAGGCTATTCCATAAAGCCTAGGTGTGTAGTAGACTGTACCATTTAGGTTTGCGTAAGTACATTCTATGATGCTTGCACAACGACAAAATCACCTAACAATGCATTTCTCAGAACATATCACTATCATTAAGCAATGTATGACTGTATTTAAAGTACATAAAAGAGCATAATGCTGTTCAGCGGCTTAAATCCTTCAATAGATTCCCAATGACCTTAGAATAAAATCTGAAATTTTTATGGTGGCCTTCAAGACCCTAAATTATCTGGCTTCTCCTCACCTCTCCAACTTCATTCTATGCTACAATTCCCCTTTGCTCAAAACTCAAGGAATACGCCATCTCTATCTTAAGCAATCTGTTTCAGAGAATAGAAAATGAGGAAAAATTAGCCAATTTATGAATCTAGAATATCAGAATATCAAAACGGGACAAGAACAGGACAAAAAAGCAAATGATAGACCAACCTCACTTGTAATCTTAGAGTCAAAAATAGATGAAATATTAGTTAATTAAGTGTAACATATATACATATATATATCAAATACATCATATATATATATTCCTACGCCATAATATAAAGGCTATCTCAAGAATGCAAGGATAACTCAACATCAGAAAATCTTATATTGTAATATAATAAATACATTAAGGGAGGAAAAAGTACATAATCATCTCAATAGGCACATGCATTATTTAGGACAGGCAGGTAATGTTATGATGACAGACAAACCTCAAAATCTCACTGGCTTAAAATAAAAGAATTTATTTCTTGCTCAAGAAAATTTCACATTAGTAAAAATGATATATGTAAAATAGATCATATATTAGATTGAAAATAGAAAAATTATAAGCCATTTACCATTCCACAACCTTGAAATAATTGTGGTGTCATGAAAAGGGCATTGGACTAGAAGTGGGGAGTCTTAATTGCCTAACTTTGGGCAAGTCACTTTATCTCCAATGGCTCAATTTTTCCATCTGAGAAATGAATAGATTATGCGGGGTGATCTCTGAGCTCTCTTCCAGCTCTGGCAGCTGTGATGGCTCAGTCCCAGCACCATCAATGAAGCTGACGTGCTACAGCCATCAATTTCCAAGACAATTTCCAAGACACCCTTGACTTTCTGTCTTCTGTTTTGACCTCAGCTACTCCTGTATTGCTCTCTCCTACTCCCATTCTCTGCTCATGCTTACAGAGCAGCAGAAAGCACAGCTTGTCCTTGAATGAACATTCTAGTCTGGGATCCATTTGTAAAAAGTGAAATGGCTCAAAAATACCATCCGCAAGTGATCCATGGCAATCTCACTTATAACAGGGGCTTCTGTCATGGTTAGCCTCTTCTGACAAAAGACCCATTTCCTGTGAACTTGGCTAGGAGTGTGAGAAATAAATAGCCTTTGTTCTAGAAAACATAAAGTTATTGAAAAGCATTTTCTAAAACCTTACAGGGGAAAACAGGCCCTTTGGCATATAATAGAAGTGTGATTGTACGGAACAGGAGTCTCTTGGGCCAGCCAAACCTTATGCCACCTTTTGGGTATCCTGAGTTAGACTCTTCATTCAGCCTCCATGAGGGTGGGATAGTGAGTGTGGAAGAGGGGGTTCAGCCTGTGAGTTGGACCAGGACTCAGAGCCCACTTCTGTCATCGTGTCAGAGCTGTGTGATCTTAATCTCACTGACCCTCAGTTTTCTTATTTTAAATAGGGGGGAATAATAAAACCTACCTCACAGGACTGTCATGGGATCAAATGCGATAATACCTGTTGATCATCTAGCACAGTGTCTGGCACACGAGAGGACCTATGCAGAGGTTAGTTCCTCTCTTTCCTCAATTTCTTGAAAAAATAGCTGCAGCCATACCTGAAGTAACTCTTTTTCTCTGAAACTATTAAACGGAAAATGCCTAGAGAACATGGTTACCCAGAAATGCCAAATATCAGTACTCTCTGCCAGTGGTGCCAAGAGCACCATTAAAATGCTTTTCTGAATTCGGTACCACTTCTGAGTGATGCTGAGATGATTCACAGTGACATGTATAAAGCTGGCCTCCTTTGGCCTCTTTAGAAGAAAGATGTTAAATAAAAATGAACAAAATTTCATTCATACCATTCTCCAGCAGAAATGCCACATTTAAGCTCTGTAATGTATGACTTTTTTCCTTATGGCATATCCCAAGGGGTGGGTCTTTAGCCATGTTCCGCAAGACTGTGCCTGTCACCAAAAATCATGATGGGACACCATCCAGGACAACACATGTTAAAGAGGTAAGAGAGACTGGACAGATGTAAAACATGAGCTGCTCCCAGGGACAGATTTGAAGAGACAGCAGCAGGCTCTTAGAGCAAACTTGCTTAAAAAGCATGGTCATCTTACCTTGCTCATGAGTTGAATTTAATTATGCTGTAATGCCACTGCCTTTTTCATTTCTCTAATGCATTATCAAGGACAGTCAGAGCCATTTAGCAATCTACAGAGCCCTTCAGTGATCAAGAATTGAATAATGGCCACTGGCATGGAGAGCCAATTTGGAGTGAATGAAAATGGGCCCTTTCAGCACCCCAGGTGAATAGAATAAGAGGTCTTCATATTTTGAACAAAAACCCTCAAAGGCCTGTATTTATAATCTTATTCCTACCATAGATGAGAGAGCAGCAAAATCACTGACCACTGACCCTTGATCAGTATGCAAGATGGCTGCTATAACTTGGCTATTTGTCACTCCCAAACCTCATGTTGAAATTTCATCCCCAGTGTTACAGGTGGGGCTTAATGGGAGGTGTTTGGGTCCTGGGTATGAATCCCTCATGAAAGATTAATGCCTTCCCTGGGTTATGGGGATGAACGAATTCACTATTAGTTCCCCCAGAGAGGTAGTTGTTAAGAAGAGCCTGGACCTCCTCCTTCTCTCTTGCTTCCCCTCTTGTCATGTGATCTCTGCACACACCAGCTCACCACCTCCTGCCATGAGTGAAAGAAGCCTGAGGCCCTCCCCAGAAGCAGATTCCTATGCCATGCTTCCTGCATAGTCTGCAGAACCATGAGCCAAATAAACTTCTTTTTTAAAATAAATGATCCAGTCTCAGGTATTCCTTTATAGCAACACAAAATGGATTAAGAAAGTGGTCCCTGTCTGTCATTGGATGCCCTTGTGGTGACACTTCATTTGCTGGCATTGACACATCCAGAAGCTATTTGTTTCTCTAACCAAGGCATGGCTATATACCTAAGCTATTTTCTTCCAAGCGACATGACCGGGCTAAATTTAAGACCTATAAATTAGAGGTAGAAAATTGGATAATACAAGAGAAGCATAAATAATTGTAAGCTTATATTATATAAGAGAAAGAGAGAGACAACACACACAAAACTAAAGAAAATTCTTTCAAAACAGGGAAGACAAGAATTCTACAAATTATCTGCATGAAGAACAGGGAAATAAAACATCTGAAGAAAAAAAATACTGATAGAAAAATATACATTAAGAATAAATTGGTAAATCTTGTGAAATGACTTTCTTTCAAGGATGAGTTGTCTGGCTATTTTAAGGAAACTTATTTTGGAACATTTTTCAATCGATGGAGATTTCAATAAATACCACTTTGTCTTCTGAGGAGAGGGAAAAAAAGAGTTTAGAATTTCTTTTTCCTGTTAATTCAGGTTAATTGCTTAGGTCTGGTTGTTTCAAATATTCTCTATCATAACACCAGTGCACCCAATCCTTTTGAGGGGATCGTGGAGAAAAGTGTATATGAGTCAATATTCCAATATAATTATGAAACATGCCCATCCCTCTAGTCTTGTTTCCAAACATAATTTGAGTGGTACAAGAACAGAACTGGAACTGACACCCACAAGAAAAGAGCCAAATATATATAAGTTCTTAGTTTAGAAAAAGAAAAGCAAATGGCCTTAAAAATGTGTTCTACCTAATTCATAAATAGATACAGTTTAAAACTACACTGACTATAGATTCAACACAATTCCTATCAAAATCCCAGCTGCCTTTTGTGGAGAAATTTACAAGTTGATCTTAAAATTCATATTGAAATTCAAGGGGCCCAGAATATCCAAAACAATCTTGAAAAAGAGAAACAAAGTTGGAGGACTCACACTTCTGTATTTTAACCTTCCTACAAAGCTACAGAAATGAAGACAGCATGGCAAGGGCATAAGGATAAACACATAGATGAAGGAATTAGAGTTGAGAGTCCAAAACAAAACCTATATCCCTATGGCCAATTGATTTTTGGCCAGGGAACCAAGACCATTCACTGGGAAAAAAACGGTTTCTTCAACAAAGACAACTCACACAATGAAAGACAATGTTTCAAAATCATGTATCTGATAAGGGATTGCTATCAACAATAGATAAACAGGCCAGGTGTGGTGGCTTACACCTGTACTCCCAGCACTTGGGGAGGCCAAGGCAGGAGGATCACTTGAGGTCAGGAGTTTGAGACTAGCCTGGTCAACATGGCGAAACCCCGTCTCTACTAAAAGTACAAAAGTTAGCCAGGTGTGGGGGCGCATGCCTGTAATCCCAGCTACTTGGGAGGCTGAGGCACAAGAATTGCTTGAACCTGGGAGGCAGAGGTTGCAGTGAGCTGAAATGGTGCCACTACACTCCAGCCTGGGCAACAGAGCGAGACTCCATCTCAAACAAACAAACAAAAAAGAATATAAGACAACTTTTACAATTAAACAATGAAAAGACAAATAATTCAACTAAAAAGTGAGGAGTAGGTATTTGCCAAAGAAGCTATGTCAATGGCCAATAAGCACGTGGAAAGATATGAAAATGGTTAGGTCTAGAGAAATGCAAATCAAAGCCACTGTGAGATAACTTTGCATCATCTAGGATGTCTGAAATTAAAAAGTATTGGTGAAGATGTGAAAAAACTGGAACCTTAATATATTGCTGAGCGATTGTAAAATTGTGTTTCCACTCTGGAATACGGTGCATTGGTTCTTCAAATTGTTGGACATGGAATTAACAAATGACCCAGAATTCCACATCTAGGTATCTATCCAAGAGAAATGAAAGTGTATGTCCACATAAACTTGTTTACAGATGTTCAGAGAAGCATTATCCATAATAGCCAAAAAGTGGAAACAACCTGTGTCCACCAATTGATGAATGAAGAAATAAAATGCTCTATGTTCATATAATGAAAAATTAGTAACATAAAGGAATAAAGTACTGATACATGCCACGATGAGATTCAATAGATGAACCTTGAAAACAGTATGCAAAGTGAAAAAACCCATGATATTTCATTCCAATTATGATGACATCTCCAGACTCTGCAAATTCTTAGAGACAAAAGTAGATTCATGGCTGCTGAGGGATAGGGGGAGCGAGAAGGAAAAATGACTAATATGAGTACAGGATTACTTCTGGGGTGATGAAAGTGCTGTGTAATTTATTGTGGTGATGGTTGCCCATACTGTGGATATTCTAAGACCTACTGAGATGTACGTGTTAGAAAGGGTAAATTTTATGATAAGTGAATTATATGCCAACATAACTGTGGTTAAAAAACAAAACAAAATAATAAGAGTGACAACATCAACACTATGTTATTTTCCACCAGATTGGAAAAGATTCAAAGCTGGGTAACACAGAGAGTTGGCAAAAATGTGGTGATATAAGCCCTTTCCCATACTGCTATTGGAGATGTGTAAGGATACAATGTCTATAGAGAAGAAATTTGCAATATTTAGCAAAATTAAATATTTGTCTTTGGAGCCAACAATTCAACTTCAAGGAATTTATTTTGCAGATAGAACTTGCATTTATGCAAAATGATATGTGTATGATATTACTCATTGCAGTAATATTTGTAATAGCGAAGTGCTAGATATGATCAAAATGTCCGTCAATAGAGAACTGATTAGTTACATCATAGACATCCATAAAATGAAATACTGTACAGTTATTTAAAAATTTTAAGTGTTTATGTACTAACAGACAACTATCTCCAAGATATGTTAAATAAAAGTACAGAGTATATAGTTTGTAAGCCCATACTAGGTTAATAATCAGCATCATTAGCCATCAAATAGTCACTCCTCCAACTACGCTGTGGGAGGAATATGCTTCTCTACCCCATTAACTCTTGACTGGGCCATGTGATCTGCTTTAAGCAATGACATGCAAGTAGAAATGAGAGTGTGCTAATTGCAAGGAAAGAATTTAGAAGCAGCATGTGTGTTTGCTAGTCCCTAGGGCACTCTCACCATCTGTTATGAGATGAGCATGACCACGTAGCTGTTGCTCCTTCAGTTTGGATCCCAGAAAAAACAGGTGGAGTAGACCTGACTTGAACACAACTGAGCCCAGCTGATTCCCACTGGACCCAGCAGAGCCACAGTCAATCCACAGACCCATGAGCAAAAGTACCTTGGTATCAGACATTGACATTGGAGGTCTTTATTGTCACAATAAAAGTTGTTACTAAAAAGGGCATTAAAAGAATTTATAAAATTTTTTTCCTTGTATATTCGTAAAATACCTTTGCAAAGCTACATGAGAATCTAATAACACAGGTAGCCCATAGGGAAGTGAATTGGGTAGCTCAGCGAGTGACAGGGTGGCATGGAATATCTTCACAGGACAGTTTTCCACGTGTTTTGTTGCAAATTATTAAATATGAGAGCAGATTATTTCTTCAAAAAATTATACAACAAGGTATCATCTCTAGGAATTCTTCTGAATAAAATAGTGTTATCAATTTGAGTCACTTACAGCATATGGCAGAATTAGTCCAAGAGGCTATTAAGAACATAACATTAGGGAATAACAAAAAGCTGACAGAAGAGGTAGAAACTTATGTAGCCACCCGAGAGCTGGTGTCACAGGCCAGGTGATATAGAGTGGAAAACCCCAAACACAGCTTTCTGGTTCCCAGCCTCTCCACCAATCACAAACCAGCTGTGTATCTTTTGGTAAGCCGTTTAACTATTTTTGGCCTACTATCTTCAATTGTTAAATAAATGGGAGTTTTAGATAAATTTTAAGAAAGTAGTCATCTCAAATCATTTTTAAAATTCTATTGATAACTAAGTGATTGGAAATAAATTACCACAAAATTTATTTTAACTAAGGTACAGAGAGCTGAAGTCAACCTACAAAATTTCAGAAGTATTTATCCTGTGGTCTAGTTGTAAGAAGATAATTTCACTAAGCTACTTTCACAAGATGAGAATGTTGAGGTATTTTTCTTGGAGTAATAATGAGTTTGCCTCACAATTTTTTTTGCCTTCAGGTTTCCCAGAAACTACCATAAAATCATTAACAAAAATTCAGTGGAAAACAATGGAACCAATGGAAACCAGTGGAATGTATGCATTTGATACGCTAGGCAGCAGCTGATAATGAATTCTGAATATTGGGATTGTCTCTTTTTTTTGACGGAGTCTTGCTCTGTTTCCCAGGCTGGAGTGCAGTGGCACGATCTTAGTTCACCGCAACCTCTGCCTCCCGGGTTCAAGCTATTCTCCTGCCTCAGCCCCTGAGTAGCTGGGATTACAGATGCATGCCACCATGCCTGGCTAATGTTTGTATTTTTAGTAGAGACAGGGTTTCACCATGTTGGTCAGGCTGATCTTGAACTCCTGACCTTATGATCTGCCTACCTCAGCCTCCCCAAGTGCTGGGACTACAGGCGTGAGCCACCACGCCCGGCCTGGGATTGCTTCTGAGTAACTTTTAGGCTTATACATTCAGCAACAAGAATTTTAAATCTACAAATGGACTTCAATCATGCTGAGTTTCCCCTCCACCTACCCCCCAACCCCAACACCAATCTCCAGTAGCTCTCTCATTTACTCATATCTTAAAAGCTGGAAATTGTTTTTCTCAAGGCAATGGCATTAAAATCATCCATTAATCTGACACTGAGAGCTATTTCGGTCATTTAGGACTATACTTTTTCCTGGTGAAGGAAACCAGAAAAGAGAGTTTCCACTGGTGAAGGGAAATGGAAGAGAAGCAAGGGACCATAAATTCACTTCTTTCCATCTAGGAGAAGAGCAGGTGTCAGTCATGGCATCAAATCAGATCCATCTCCCACTCCCATATGTAACCAAAAACACAAATTCTCAAGACCAGTGAGCAAAGCTAGCCTTACATATACCAAGAGAAATTTGAAGGGCTACAGAGTACCAAAAATTCCATCATCACAGAAGTTTTCCTTTGCACTACCTTACCTGTAAATGTCTTTATAAGATAAACACTCTTAAAAGGCATTACCTATGGAGCAGCAGGAAACCTAAGTGAGCTCTCCTAATGGGAGGCTTCTCCAGTTGGATTCTTGCCACTTCTCTGAAGTAACATTCTACTGCTACCCCCATGTCCCAAAGGACTCAATAGGATGAGATCATTAATATTTCCTGCCTGATCCTTCACCCTGTCTTGTGGGATCCCCTCCTTTATCGATAGTCCAAAGGAGTTCTACACATTTAAACAACACTTATTCTTATATTTCAAAGGGGTTTCATAATACAAGCAAAAATAATGAGGCTATTACAAGTTTTGAAGTTTCATGTCATTCATTTGGTGTTATTAAAATTTACAGTATTTTAATATCTAGTCCATGGGTTATGTAGCTCTTTCTCTTTTCACTCAAAACAGTTTTCCTTGGACTCAGAGTCTGAGATCACTTTCCTTTCTTAAGTGAACTACTTCACCATTTTCATGCTCAAGTGTGCTTTCTTGGTCCTTATGAAACACAAAGTTCTTCTTGAAAACATCCTAGATGGACATTTTTCACTTCAAACAAGGATAACCTGGATTTCTGTTGCCACATTAGATAGAGCAGTTTGCAGCAGACTCATAGTACCTATGAGAATTACTAGAAAAATGCAATAAAATTTTCAAAATACTTAATGGCAACTGTCTAGTTGCCAAAGTGTCAGAGGCGTTAGAAGAGGAAGAACTCCATCTTGAATAGGGGCTGGATAAAATAAGGCTGAGACCTACTGGGCTGCATTCCCAGATGGTTAAGGCATTCTAAGTCACAGGATGAGACAGGAGGTTGCCACAAGATAACAGCTCATAAAGACCTTGCTGATAAAACAGGTTGCAGGAAAGAAGCCCGCCAAAATCCACCAAAACCAAGATGGTGACGAGAGTGACCTCTGGTCATCCTCACTGCTACACTCCTACCAGTGCCATGACAGTTTACCATGGCAACTGCCATGGTAACGCCATGGTAACTGCCATGGCAACGTCAGGAAGTTACCCTATATGGTCTAAAAAGGGGAATCATGAATAATCCACACCTTGTTTATTATTTATTATTTTTATTTCTTGTATATAATCAAGAAACAATCACAAAAATGGACAGCCAGCAGCCTTTGAGGCTGCTCTGCCTATGGAGTAGCCATTCTTTTATTCATTTATTTTCTTTTGTTTGTTTGTCTCTTTGTTTTTGGAGACGGAGTCTCGCTCTGTCACCCAGACTGGAGTGCAGTGGCGCCATCTTGGCTGATTGCAAGCTCCGCCTCCTGGGTTCACTCCATTCTACTGCCTCAGCCTCCCGAGTAGCTGGGACTACAGGCTTCCGCCACCAGGCCTGGCTAATTTTTTTGTATTTTTAGTAGAGACGGGGTTCCACCATGTTAGCCAGGATATTCATTTACTTTCTTAATAAACTTGCTTTCACTTTACTCTGTGGACTCGCCTCAAATTTTTTCTTGCATAAGATCCAAGAACCCTGTCTCAGGGTCTGGATTGGGAGCCCTTTCCAGTAACAAAACGAGCAGACATTAAAGAAACCAAGATTCTGGAAAGTAAAAAAACTGCAGAAAGGTAAGCTGATGTTTGGCAGCTTTACTTTGCAACTGAGGATGTTTGTCAACTCTACTTGCAAACTAAGAGGCTGAGAATGTGAACTTTTCCCAGGCGGAGGGCCACAGCTGGAGGACAGAAACCAGAGAGTGTGAAAGTCTCACAGGACTGAAGAGATATAATTGGAAATTTAAGGAGGCAACATTCCAGTGAAAAAGGAAGAGTAGAGGGTTGATCCTGGGGGAGAGCCATTGTTCTCTCTAAAGAATCTGCCTATTTCTGAAGCTGCATGACTTGGGAGGCTATACAACTCAGCAGAAGTCATCCTAAATGCAAAGCATTGCTTTCTGCAGTCCTACTGTGATATTGATATAAAAATTTGAGTTCAGGATTTGCCGAGGGTAAGACCCTCAGTGAACAGAAGAAAACACTAACAATATATCCCAGGATTGTAGATGAACCAAAGGAAGACAGAACCTTTCAAAAAGTAAAACATGCATATGTGGGAAAAATAAATAAATAAAACATATTTTGATTCAGCACAGCTTCTGGGGTTAAATTACAAGCCCCTCTGTATATGCCCAGCAGAGAGAAAAGATAATGCCTCTGGAGAAATATTATTAACTGGAGCCTCTATAATTTTTTTTTATATATATAACGTCTACCTTTAAGTAAAAACATTTACTAAGCATGCCAAGAGACAAGAACATATGATTGTAAGCCAAGAGAGGTAAAAAAGACAATAAACAGATCCAAAAGCCATCGAGATAGTAAATTAGCAAACAAGGATTTGAAAGTAACTAGCATGTGCAAGAACATAGGCATATGGAGAAAATGGATTAAAAGATGAAGACTTCTTTCAGAGAATTGTAGTTTATTTAAAAATTACATTTTATAACAGATCAATAAAATAAAATTAAGAATTTTAACAGGGGTGTTAACAGCAGTTTTAACATGGCAGAAGGCAAGATTACTGAACTGAAAGACATATCTACAGAAAATAATCAAATAAAAACACTGAGATGAAAATGAATAGGAAATACAGAAAAGGATGGAAGATACTTGTAGAGTACAATGAAAAAGGGATGGAAAAAGATATACTGTATTAACACAAATCAAAAAAACTGGAGTAGCTATATTAATTTCAGACAAAGTAGTTTTCAGAGCAAGGAAAATTATCAGGGATAAAGGGAAGCATCACATAATGATACTCTTATGTTTTCTTCTCTTCTCCAAGAAGACATAAAAATTCTTAATATATATGCACCTATCAAGACAGCATCAAACAGCATAAAACAAAAACTGATAGAATAGCAAGGAGAAATAGAAAAGTCCATTATTATAGTTGCAACTTTTCTACCCTTCTACCCATAAATAACAGATCCAGCAGGCAGAAAATTAATAAGAATGGAGTTGAACCAAACAACATCATCAATCAACTGGATCTAATTGATGTTTACAGAATATTTCATCCAACAACAGCAGATACACATTCTTTTCAAGCTCATGTGGGACATTCACCAAAGTAGATCACATCCTGGTCCATAAAACACACCTTCCCAAATTTAAAAGAATAGAAATTACCCAAAGTATTCTTTCAGACCACAATGAAAATAACAGAATGGGAGCTAGAAAATCCCAAAATATTTGGAAGTTAAACAACCCGCTTATAAATAACACACAGGCCAAAGAAAATCCCTCAAGAGAAGTTTAAAGGTATTTTGGACTAAGCGAGAATGAGAATGCAAATCATCACCATTTGTGGAATGCAGTAAAAGCAGGGATTAGAGGAAAATTTATAGCACTGAATGTACGTACTAGAAAAGAAGATCTAAAAATCATTATCTAAGTTTTCACTTTGGGAAATAAGAAAAAGGAGAGCATATTAAATCCAAAGTAAGCAGAAGAAAAATAGTAAGTATCAAAGCAGAAATCAGTGAAATCGAAAATGGGAAATTAATAGAGAAAAACAACAAAACCAAAGCTGGTTCTTTGAAAAGATCAGTAAAATTGAAAAACTTCTAACCAAGCTAACCACAAAAAGAGAGGACACAAATTTCTAATATCAGAAATGAAAGGGGGACCATCACTACTGATGCCACAAATATTTTAAAAAGATAATAAAGGAATATTATGAACAATTCAAAGCCCACAAATGAAACAATTATTTGAAAGAAACAATTTACTAAAACTCATACAAGAAGAAATAGATCATCTGAATAGGCCTGTATTTATTTTATTTATTTATTTATTTATTTATTTATTTATTTATTATTTTTTTGAGATGGAGTCTCGCTCTGTCACCCAGGCTGAAGTGTAGTGGCACGATCTCGGCTCACTGCAAGCTCTGCCTCCCAGGTTAACACCATTCTCCTGCCTCAGCCTCCCGAGCAGCTGGGACTACAGGCGCCTGCCACCACACCCAGCTAATTTTTTGTATTTTTAGTAGAGACAGGGTTTCACTGTGTTAGCCAGTATGGTCTCAGTCTCCTGACCTCATGATCTGCCTGCCTTGGCCTCCCAAAGTGCTGGGATTACAGGCAGAATAGGCTTGTATTTATTAATGAAGTTGAATCAACAATATATAACCCTCCAAATAGAGTGCAACCAAGCCCCTATAGTTTGACCAGTAAATTCTACAATATATTTAAAAAATAGGTGCTATTGATTATCTACAATATAGCCCAAAAAAATAGAAGCAGAGGAATACTTCCTAACTCATTCTATGAGACCAGCATTACTCTAACATCAAAACCACACAAACACATTACAATAAAGGACAGTTAAACTAAATATGGAAATCCTTAATCAAATTGGGAGATTTTAACACATTCCTTTTTATAAGTGCTAGAATTAAGAAATAAAATAATATTAACAATATGGAAAATGTGAACATTACATGCTTCACATACAGATAACACCATACTCAAGAATGAGAGAATACACATATGCATTTACCAAAACTCTTCATATGCTGCATCAGAAAGCAAGTCTTGGCACATTTCAAAAAAACTGAAATAATTGAGATTATTTCTGTAATTATACAATAAAGATAAAAGTCATTTTTAAAAAGACAGCTGGAAATCTCCAAATATTAAGACTATCAATCAACATACTTCTAAATAACATATAATTCAAAAAAGAAATTAAAATGAATATCAGAAAATATTCTGAATTTAACTTCAATGAAAATAGAACACGACAAAACTTGTGAGATAAAGCAGAAACAGTGCCTGCAGAAGGAAAATATGTAGATCTAAATATATGTATTTAAATATACATTAAATACATGTGTATTTAAATATACCAAAAAACAAAGCCAGAAAACAATCTAAGAATTTATTACAATAAATAGAAAAAATAACAAATCAAAACAAATAAATAATAAATAGGCTGGGTGTGGTGGCTCAAGCCTGTAATCCCAATACTTTGGGAGGTCAAGGCAGGAGGATGACTTGAGCCCAGGAGTTCAAGACCAGCCTGGGCAATATGACAAAAACCCATCTCTAAAAAAAAATACAAAAAGTTAGCTAGGCATGGTGGCATGCTCCTGTGGTCCCAGCGACTTGGGAGGCTGGGGTGGGAGGATCACTTGATCTGGAAGGTTGAGGCTGCAGTGAGCCATGATTTCACCACTGCACTCCAGCCTGGGTGACAGAAAGAGACCCTGTCTCAAAATTAATTAATTAATTTAAGAGCTAAAATCGATAAAATGAAATCCAATGTACAACAGAAAGAAAATACAATTCAAACTACAGGGTCTGGCCAGGCATGGTGGCTCGTGCGTGTAATCCCAGCACTTTGAGAGGCTGAGGCAGGAGGATTGGCTTGAGGCCAGGAGTTTGAGACCAGCCTGGCCAACATGGCAAAACCCCATCTCTACCAAAAATACAAAAATTAGTCAGGCGTGGTTGTGCACACCTGTAGTCCCAGCTACTCAGGAGGCTGAGGTAGGAGAATCACTTGAACCCGGGAGGTGAAGGTTGCAGTGAGCCAAGATCCTGCCACTGCACTCCAGCCTTGGTGACAGAATGACACTCTGTCTTGGAAACAAAACAAAACAAAACAAAACAAAAAACCTGGAGAGCCTCTAGTAAGACCGATGCAAAAGGAAAAAAGAAAAAGGAGACAAAACATGAATTACCAATATCAGGAATAAAAAAGAAAACATTACTAAAGATCTTATAGACAATAAAATAATAGTATATTATTAACAGTTTAAACCTAATAAATTTGACAATGAATTGAAAACAGTCCTTGGAAAATAACAGCCACAATCATAAAACCATTACTAAAATTGAACTCGTTATTAAAATTTTTCTCAGAAGAAATACACAGATGTAGATGGTTTTATTGATGATGTTTTTCAAATATCCTTATTCTATTAGTCCATTTTCACACTGCTGATACCTGAGACTGAGCAATTTACAAAGGAAAAAGATTTAACTGGATGTACAGTTCCATGTGGCTGGGGAAAAAGGTTTAACTGGACTTACAGTTCCATGTGGCTGGGGAATCCTCACAATTATGGCAGAAGACAAGGAGAGCAAGTCACATATACATGGATGGTAGCTTGTGCAGGGATACCTCCATTTTTAAAAATCAACAGATCTCGTGAGACTTATTCACTATCATGAGAACAGCATGGGAAAGACCTGACCCCATATTCAATTACTTCCCAAGGGGTCCTTCCCGCAACATGTGGGAATTCAAGATAAAATTTGGGTGGGGACACAGCCAAACTTCATCAAATATGGATATGCCATATTTAAGGCATAAATATGGATTGCCATAATAATGCCAATCTCACACCAAACCTTTCAGAGATTAGAATAAAAGGAAAATACCCCCTCCCCCCCACTTTTTTGAGGTCAGCATTAACTGAATACCAAAATCTGACAAAGACATTACTAGAAAGGAAAGTTAGGGTCAGTGTTTCTCATGGATAGATAACAAATCTTTTTTTTTTTTTTTTTTTTTTTTTTGAGACGGACTCTCGCTCTCTCATCCAGGCTGGAGTGTGGTAGTACAATCTCAGCTTACTGCAACCTCTGCCTCCCAGGTTCAAGCGATTCTCCTGCCTCAGCCTCCTGAGTAGCTGGGATTACAGGCACCTGCCACCACACCTGGCTAATTTTTTTGTATTTTTAGTAGAGACAGGGTTTCACCATGTTGGCCAGGATGATTTTGAACTCCTGGCCTCAGGTGACCCACCCGTGCTGGCCTCTCAAAGTGCTGGGATTAGAGCCGTGAGTCACCATGCCTGGCCTAGATATCAAATCTTAAACAAAATAGGAAAATAAAGTCCAGTGATACGAAACAAAAATATATCACAAAAACATTGGGTTTATTACAGGAATGTAAAGGTGTTTTGAAATTCAAAAAGCAATCAAGATAATTCACTACATTAACAGAAAAAAGAAAAATTAAATGATTTTGGTAAAGTCAGAAAACTAATTAAAATGCCAACATCCATGAATAATAATGATGATAATAGTAATAATAATAAGAAGAACTCAGCGAACTAGGAAGAGAAGGAACTTCCTTCAACCTGAAAAGATACACCTACAAAAAATCTACAGCAAACATCATAGTTAATTATGAAATATCAAAATATTTTCTTCTAAGATCACAAGTGAGATGAAGACATTACCCTTGTAAGAAAGGTCCAAGTCAAAGCAATAAGGCAACAAAAAGAAAAAATATATACATAAGGATGAGAAAGGAAGGAATATGCCTCTCATTATGTACAGACAATGTGATTATATATGTAAATACAAATGAATTCACAAACCATTAGAATAAATGCATTTAGCAATATATAATTAATACATATATTTACTTCACTTCTGGGAGTTAAATGCTAAACATGGTCTCTGACTTTCCAGAAACCTATCACACCCATTGATAGAAAGGAAGCCAGTTCCATGCCAGCATCTTCCACTCTCAAGCCTGGCCTCAGAAGAAAGCACCACCAAGGTTTGGAAAGACCCTGGTTCCTCCCCTCCTTCGCCAGCACATTCTTGATTGCCTTGGTGAAAGGAGCCTCCAGACTTTCCTTGGGAAACTGCCAAGTGGTAGGTTTTGGGTTTTACATACAAATCCATCCTAACACTCCACATTCATGAGCCATCTGACTCTTTCCTCAATCTTAGGCCAAGGAGATTCTGGCATCTCCATCCTATTAATTCTAGCCCATTGCCATGTCCATGCTTCAAGTTGTTCCAACAAAATTTAAGACCCAGTTTCAGGCAGGTGTTCTAGCTTAATTTCATAAATATGCCAGGCTCATGAATCTTCACCAGGTTTATATCCTACACACGTGTCTTTCCAGAGCAAAATATTAAATCCCAAGCCATGGGTGAGTCCTTCCCGTGTCAATAAACTCATCTCTATTCATCATGCTCCAGCATGCTCACCACCCAAGTCTAACACTCTCAGTATTCCCTTTCACACATATTCTCCCACTTTCTACTGGTCCATGTTAGTCTTGCCCTGCAATTCCTTTGGCATATTTTGGCTACTTTTTTTCCTGAAACAGAGGTTGTATTTCCTTGCTCAGGCTGTGCTAAAGTCTGACCCCGTTTATTGGCCTGAAGTCAATGAGATGTCGAGAGAGTGGAGCTTGGGACCTAACATCATATTGCAAGTGACCTCATTTATATCAGGTTTTGTACAGTTTCCAGTCAAGGAAAATCTATTCTTCTTTGGCAAGGGGAAGAAAGTTGCTTTTCCTGCCAGAACGACTTGGAGTTAATTTATAGGTATGAGATTATAGGTATGGTATAGGAGACACTTCCCAGTGTCTCCATGCCAGGTCTTGGGGTCTACTATTTTCCCATCAGGGCCTTGACTTTGACATAGTAAAGTGTCAAAGCTATGCATTCAGCCTCCTTTGCAATTCAGCCACACTTATAATCAGATCATAAATCTGAAATTTCAACAGAGCATGCCCTCAGGCTGCAGATGACAATATTTTCCTTTAAAGCTGCCACAGAAATCTCTAACTGTACAGTATTCCTTAAGTTGGCAGTTAACTACTCTAGACTTACTGTTTTTTATATTTTTGTAAGATCTTCAGTACTGTCAAAAATACTCACCCCATACCACAACTCTTACCATTATTCCTGCCCTTATATCAATCTAGTGTGGTGCCCACTTGATCTCTCATCTCCTTCCCTTTCACCTGCACCTTGCCCAATTAAACAAATGTGAAAGCTTTAGTATGTATCATGTTCTCTATGCCAGAGGGGTTTTGCCATCACACTTACTCCAGCTTTTTATTCCCTTTAGACAGATAGGAAAACCACTCTCAAAACCCCATGCTGAGAATCTGCTTTCTGGAGCCACTCCTTGTACAAATTGTCATAACCTAAGTTCCCTGGAAAACAGAATCAAAGGAAAAAGCTGTAAGCTAATGCTTTGTTTAGGTAGGAGGCACGATCCAGGAATCTAGAATGAAAGGAAAAGAAAAATAGGGGAAACAAATATTAAGTTTTACACATCGAAGTTGGCTACAGCCTCCAGGAAAGGGCAGCTCTTTTGTTCTCTCACACAGGATGTCTCCAGGCAGAATGCTGGCATCACTGTGCTGTGAAACAGTCAATAGTGAAGAAGAAAGGAAAATAGATCTACTGCCTCTCTCCATCTTTTGTCTTTTATCAGTGAAATTTCACCACATAGAATGTTTACTTCACTGTGTTCCAGGATTTGGGAGACTGGACAGCTTATCTCCCAGGGTGGCTCTTTATGAGACCAGAAGTGATGGGAGGGGCCAGAGCCACTGGTTCCATTTAGGCCAGATCTGGAGGCTAGAACTGCAGTGACTTTCTCTGTGCTGGGGATGATGGAACATGCGAGAGCCTGGTCTTCTCTAGAAGTAGCTGAGGCTGCAAGTATTGTTGACAGTCAGGGTGGCAACAGTTGCGGCTGTCCACCAAGCAAGTGGCCAAGTGCTTGGAAGGTGGGAGTAACCAAGCAAATCTGAAGAAATGCAAAAACAGGAGGGATTAATACATTTACCATTTAGACAACTGTCTACCGAACACCTCCACAGGAATAGAGATACAATTGGCATGTCCAAAACTGAATCCACCATCTGTACCCAAACATATCCCTCCTCCTGTGTTCCTTATCTAAGTGACTACCACCATCATATACTCATTTACCAAGACACGATGTAGGTGTCATCTATCTCAGCCCTCTATCTCCTGCATCTTCTACATCAAATTCATTTCCATATCTAACTTCTGTCTTCCTAATTTTGCAATCCACTGCCTCTACAGTGCTACTCCTACCTTAATCCAGTGTGAATTTTTTTGCAATAAACAATATAACAATTACAACAGTCTCTTGACTGGTTTCATTTTCTTTGTTCTTACTTCCAGCTACTCCATTCTGTGAATGGAGACACCGTGGAAGTAGGGTAGGGATTAAGAACCCACACTTTGGGCCGGGTGCGGTGGCTCACGCCTGAAATCCCAGCACTTTGGGAGGCCGAGGCGGGAGGATCACAAGGTCAGGAGATCAAAACCAGCCTGGCTAACACAGTGAAACCCTGTCTCTACTAAAAATACAAAAAATTAGCCGGGCTTGGTGGCGGGCACCTGTAATCCCAGCTACTCCGGAGGCTGAGACAGGAGAATGGCGTGAACCCGGGAGGCGGAGCTTGCAGTGAGCTGAGATCGCGCCACGGCACTCCAGCCTGGGAGACAGAGATTTGGAGTCAGACCTCATTAAGTTTGGATCTAGCTCCTTTACTTTTTGTCTGGGTGAACTTGAGCAAGTTAATTAACCTTTCTTGGCTTCAACTTCCTGTTGTCTTTAGGATTCCGCCATGGGCATCTTGAAAGGCTCTCCAAAGGGAAGGAACATGATCCATGACTAGATCCAGTTTTGAAATGACCGAGGAGCAAAGAATTTTAGGGGTAAAAATCTACTTTATATTGTTTCAACTTGCTGTTTCCATGATGAGAAGATGTTAGTCCCAGCCTTGTCTTTTGAAAGTTTAAAGGAAACCAATCACACAGGCATTGTCTCTGCTGTAAAAAGTGCTGCACTTTTTCAGCCTTTTTCAGGTGATTAATGTGATCCTCCACTTCTGAGAGACACGTTCTCTCTAGGGCCTAGACATTACTGACACAGGCCATTGGGGAAAAAATGACTAATTCAGGCAAATATAAATGCTCGCATTAACCTCTGATGCTGTCATTTGTGCTCCAAGTGCCTGGCTCAGGAGGTGAACAAACGGCAAGAACAAATGAAGGGTACTTTCAAAATTGAAGTCACTTTATACTGCATTTTATTTAAGATTTTTGTGGCAGAAAAGCCATTTTAAAAAGGCATATGTAGGAGCTGGGTAACTGCCTGGTCTTAATGAATGTGACAAACAGAATAGCTGTCACCAAGATTGTATTAGGGAATGGCATGATTTAGGATCAAAGGTGAAGGGCTCCTCGAGGTCATGTAGACTGAAAGCTTCATTTTATAGAAAAAAATTGGCCCTGAGAACCAGAAAGCCAATGGTTCCCAGTTTAGCCATTTCTATTTACCTTATTATTCATTTCCGAAGTCTGCCATAACAAATGACTGCAAATATGGTGGTTTAAGCCCACAGAAACTTATTCTTGCACAGTTCTGGAACATAGAAGTCTGAAATCCAAGGCTAAGCAGGGCCATACGTTTTCTGGTCTTTAGGGAAGAACTCTGTTTTCAGCTTCTGGTGGTCCCAGGCCTCTCTTAGCTTGTGGCTGCATCACTCCAGCCTCTGCCTTTATCGTCACATGACCTTCCCTCCTGTCTATTTCTCTGTGTCCTCCACGAATCTTTTAAGAGCACCAGTCACTGGATTTGGGGCTCACCCTACATCCTGGATGACTTCATCTTAAATCATATCTGCAAATACCCTATTTCCAATTAGATCACACTCTAAGGTTTCAGATGGACATAAATTTGGGTGTACACTATTCAATCCACTACAAACCCCATGGCTCCTCCTTAACACAAAGGGGTCATTCCTGGATCTAAGGGAGCAGGTATGGATTCTGCACCTCTCCCAATGCCTTAGACCATAATTTATGCATAGATGTTGAGAGTCATACTGCCTGGATTCAAAGTACATTGACCCTTAATAAATAAATCATTTCAAAGCTTCAGTTTTCTCAGTTACAAAATGGAGAAAATACAGCCCTCCATGTGGGAGCCTCATCAGGTTGCAGCGAGAACAAGGTGGCATAATCCACATGGACCACTTAGCCCAGCATGTGACCCATGACTAGGGCTCAATAAATATTAGCTGCTACCAATCAAAGCCAGCACTGATGCTTTGGAAGGGTTTGCATATCATACAAAATAAAATTCAATCATCCTCCAGGCTACGTGGGAAGCACTGTATGGCAGCTAGCTAATTATTCCCACCCACCCATCATGGGAAAAGCCCTGACCTCCATACCAACAATTTCAATGGGGCTTCCTTTGTCGGCTTCTACCTGAGCTGTCTGGCGATTCGCAATTTTTCAGATCTGAGCCAGATTCACATTTGGAGATTAAGCTCCAGTATCTAGACTAAGCAGAGATGCATAGTAATGGACAGAGATGTCCAAGATAAATAACTCTAGAACCTGAGCTCAAAAAGCTGGTAGCTTTCAGGAAACTCTCAAAGTCTCTGAACTGACTGGCTGGGTCTTGCCTGAAAGACTAGCAGAAAAGGGAGCTGGGACTGGGACCAGGAAGACAGAGGAAGCCAAGGGTGGACCCTGACAGTGGCAGCTTGAAGTCCAATTGCAACATCTTAAGGAAAAGCACAAGGCTGTGGGAAGGAGAGGTAAGGTAAGGAGTTATCTATTGAATCATGCGGTGGGGGGCATACCTGCTCTAGTGGACACTGTGGGGCACTGCCCAGATCCACCTTCACAACTGAAGCACTCATTCTCCAAGCCCTTGGGGAATCAGCTCTCAGGGAATCTGCTTAAGCTAAGGAGAGCCACCCAGCCCAAGGTCACACGGCCTCCCTGGAAGCAGCTCACATCCAATGTCTGGTCCATGGTGGAAAAGCATAAAGGCTTGGCCATAGGCAGGATTATCCTGAGGACTCATCTAATCTCCAGAGCTCTTACAGCGTCAGAGGAGGTTTCCACTGTCACTGCATAACAAGTCTTAATTTTCCCCTCCCCTTGAAGGTGTCAATATTGAGAACAGCTCAATAAAACTCTTACATGCAAATTGCCATCTCATCATGTTTCTCAGAAAACCCATCCCAGACACCTACATTCACAAAATCCCTGAAAGACGCTGTTCTATCAATCTCATTTTCCTGATGAGAAAATTGAGCCTCAGAGATCAAGCAATGTCCCCAAAGACATACAGCTGGTAAGTGGCAAATTCTGATTTTAAACTCAAGTATGTGCAGCCCCAAAGCCCATGGTCTTTCCACTTTAATCTCTGCCTTCATTGAGTCAGTCACTAAGAATAAAGCAGAAATTAAACATTCTCAGGATGAGAAAATAGGAAGGCAACCACTGTGTTATATGGATGACATTCCCTTTGTGCTCCCCCTGGCTTGCTTAAAGCCCTGTGATTATAGTTGTGGTTATTTTTCTTGTTATCTCATTCAGCGCTGGTTACTAAATGTTTGTTTTCTTTTATTAGCCCACTGTATGCTTAGGACCAGGCTCCAGTTTCCTAGTTGTGTTTGCCTAGCTCCTTATAAGCTTGAGCCATCTGTTCCTCTCGAAGTGGACAGGATGACATTTTTTTCCCCAGAGTTTACCTACTTTGTATTTTATAAGGGAAGCCAAACTAGGTGATTCATTGTCCTTCTCCTCCTCTTCTTCTTCCTCCTCCTCCTCCTCATCAATAGGAAAACACTGAGAAGCAGCCTTAAGGAACAACACAGTGGTGATATCAAGGGACTTGAAATTATGTCACGTGCTATCGGCAACCAATATATGATGTTTGGATTGAGAACTATGATCAAAGTGAAGCAGTGGAACTTTGCAGTTAATCAAACAGGAATTTTGAACCAAAAACCCACAAATGTGTTTCAACACACTTGAGCTACGTAATCTTGGGTGAGTTACTAAACTGCTATGTGCAATTTTCTCACCTGTCAAATGGAGCTAATAATAGACTTACTATTTTGTGTGTGAGGATTTGCTGATCTATATATAAAGGTTTTAGCACAGTGTTATAAATATAGCAAATACATACTTAAAGTTATCTGTTAATGCATGGAAATTAGAGGTGAACGAAGTTGGGCTCTTTATTTACGAAATATTGTATGTTGTTTAGAGCAATTCAACCTGGGATAAGCTGAGTTCCAGAGGCAGACAGGTGTAAGAGAGCTTCTGACATGAACATTGCAGGCAGGCAAGATAATCACTAGCATCCATTCCTTCCAAATATTAACATTATATTCCCTCAAAGGTTGTGACATAGTTGGATTTCTTGAGACCTCTTCTCAGAGAGACAAGAACTTTGTTGTTTAAATGATCCATCAAGATCAGCTTAAAACAGCACCTGTAGTTTTGTGGTATCCCAAACTCTGAATCTGAACAGATCATTTATCAGGAAAGTCTAGAAAGATGTTTCATTTTGAAGTTTAAGGATAAATTATTGAATTGGCCTCTGATATGGGTGACTGGTTGCTCAATTCAATAGGACTGGCTGTGTAAACATATAACAGGCTTTCAGAATGTTTGTCCAGGGTGGGATAAAAAGGGTAACTATTAATCCATCAATTCCTGTCCCCCAGTGGTCAAATTTTTACCCAAAAAGGTGGCAGCTCCTTGCACTTCCAGGTTGCATATCTATGGGCACATTGTGACGTGGAGAGAGAAGTCTTGGGTCTGGACACATAAAAAATGTATAAATAAATCCTGCAAATTAATAAGCAAACATCAAACAACCCTGCAGAAAATTGGGCTAAATACTTGAATAGGCATTTCACAAAAGGAGATATTTAAATGGCCAGTAATCATATGAAAAAGTGTTCATCATCATTTGTCATCATGAAAATGAAAATTAAATCACAAAGAGATATGACTATACAACCACCAGAGTGCCAAAATTCATAAGTTGGGTTGGATGGATGTAGGGCAACTGAAACCCTCCTATACCAGTGGTGGTGAGTGTAAAATGGTAAAATCTTTTGGGAAAACTGTTTGGCCATATATTCTAAAGCTGAACATGTGCCTATTCTATTACCCAGAAATTATATTTCTAAGTATGCATCCAAGAGAAATGCACATATAATTCACCAAAAAACACATACAACGGTGTTTGTGGTAGGATTGCTGGAATTGTCCTAAACTAGGTTTCTCAACCACAGCACTATTGACACATTGGATTGAATAATTTTTGTTGTGGGGGATTTCCTGTGCTTTATAGGATGATTGGCATCATCGTTGGCCTCTATTCACTAGATTCCAGTAGCCTCCCCCAGTCATTACAACCAAACTTGTTTCCAGACATTGCCAAATATCCCCTTGGGGCAGGAAAATCATCCCACTGTCCTAAATTGAAAAGAAAACCACTGTCCTAAATTCGAAAGAATCCAAAAAACCTATCAACAATAGTACGAAAAAATAATGGGAAGCATGTTCATTCATTACAATATTATACAACAGTGAAAATAAATACATTAACGTTGTACTTCACAACATGTACAAAAGAAGCCAAACACAGTAGGGCTCATACTACAACATTCTCACATATAAAGATCAAAAGCAAGTTAAACTGACTTCTGGCTATAGGAGTCAGAATGGTAGCAAACTTTTGGGGGAACAGTAGCTTGAAAGAGGCACGAGAGAGCCTTCAAGGATGTCAATCATATTCTTGATCATGGTATTATATTCAAAATACCAATTGTAAAAGTTTTAGAGCAATAGATTTACAGTTGTTGAACTTTTTTGCATATAGATAATATTTCAACCAAAAACGTTTCCCCAAAACAAGGCTGGGCATGGTGGATCACGCCTGTAATCCCAGCACTTTGGGAGGCCACCGTGGGCAGATCACTCAAGACCAGGAGTTCGAGACCAGCCTGGCCAAGATGGTGAAACCTCATCTCTACTAAAAATACAAAAAGTAGCGGGGCGTGGTGGCACATGCCTGTAATCCCAGCTACTTGGGAGGCTGAGGCATCAGAATCACTTGAACCTGGGAGGTGGAGGTTGTAGTGAGCTGAGATCTCGCCACTGCACTCCAGCCTGGTAGACAGAGAGAGACTCTGTCTAAAAAAAAAAAAAAAATTCCCTGAAACAGATGTTTTGTATACTTTTATTAGTTTTCTACTAGGAAGTTTTATATAGAGATAGTCTCTGATACATTGCCGAAAATGGAACGTTTATAGACACCCATTTTACATTAAAATATGTTACTTTTTCCACTTTCCAAAATAGCATCTTGCTCCTTTCACTGAGTATGATCTCAGTCCTAGTCTCCTTTGCTCCTGATCAGCAAACAACCTAAACAAACCATCATAGTGATCTCAAATATCATTCTCTTTCTGTGCGCCCCCCCGCCAGAGTTTTCTCTTCTGAAGAGTATCACAGGGCATATATTTTTCAAGTTAAAATATGTTTTTTGAGAATGTCACACACTGTTTGAGATCATTAGTACCTTCCTGGGTCTGCATTACTGCATTAAAATAACCCATAAATTCTATCTCCATTAAAGCTGGCAATTGTTCAATTGCATTTGATATTCTAGGGCCCAACTTTGTATAATTCTGTGTACTTAGGACATAATCCCCATATTTTGATATTTCTACATGTAGTTAGCTACATCCTGTGTGATTTCAGTTCTGTCAGCTTGTCTTTTCAAACACATGTTATTCACAAAGCATTGTTCTTAAAAATTAAGAACTATTCAAGCTGTTCTTTGAGTTCTGAAAGTCCTCTCTAACATTTTGCTTTAGAGAAGCAACATATTCGTTCGTCAGCATTCACTGAATTAGTTAAGAAAAAGTTCATTTATCAGTTAAAAGAGGAATGGAACACAAGGGGTATAAATTATGGATTGCCTATAAGGGGGCAAGGGAGAGAGAAGGCAGTAAAATTGATGGGAAAGGTCATGTGGGAATTTCAAACCTTGTCCACAGATTTGTTGACATTGCTCTAATCGAAAGGTAGGGGCTATCTCTTCTCATCTTGAATCTGGGCTGATCTTAGTGACTAACTCATATCAATAAAATGCAGTGGAAGTGACTTCCAAGGTTGTGTGACCTTTAGTGCCAGGCCAGAAAAAGCCTTGCAGTTTCCTCCTGGTTCTCTTGAGATGCTTGCTGGGGAACACCAGCCACCACGGATGATGTCTGGCTACGTGGAGAACACCAGGCTGAAGAGGCAGCAATCTGTTGACAGTTCCAGCTGATTCCATCCATCCTACAGAGTATCAACTGCCAGCCACGTGAGAGCACCATCTTGGATGGCCATCCCAGTCAAGCCCTCAGATGACCGTAGTCAACATCGGACTACAATTACCCAAGAGACTTCAGGCCAGGTGCGGTGGCTCACACCTGTAATCCCAGCACTTTGGGAGGCCGAGGTGGGTGGATCCCAAGGTCAGGAGATCGAGACCATCCTGACTAACACGGCGAAACCCTGTCTGTACTAAAAATACAAAAAATTAGCCGGGCGTGGCAGCGGGTGCCTGTAGTCCCAGCTACTCGGGAGGCTGAGGCAGGAGAAAAGCATGAATCCGGGAGGCAGAGCTTGCAGTGAGCCGAGATCTCACCACTGCACTCCAGGCTGGGTAACAGATCGAGACTCCGTCTCAAAAAAAAAAAAAAAAAAGAGACTTCAAGCAAGAACAGCCTCACCTCACTCTTCCAGAATTATTGACTCACAAAATCATAAGGAAAATAGAATGGTTATTTTAAGCTTCTACTTTGGGGGATAATTTGTTATTCAGTGATTCCAAGAACAGAACAATCATGAGTTTCTTCTAAAGACAATAGTTCACTCTAGTTGGGCTCAACAAGCCTGTATTGAATTCTTACTACGTGTCATGCACTATTGCAGGATTGGAGATACCAAGATGATAAAGTCACAGTCTCTTCCTGGTAGGATAGTGAGCCATGTCAGGAACAACTATAGCAGAGTGCCATAACAGGTGTAGTAAGAGTGGTATCTGCAAGAAACAGAGCTGTACAAAGGAGATGGTGATTAGCTATTTCTTAGAGGCCTCAGTGTGCAGTGGCTTTGGAGTTGTTCAGCCCAGATTCAGATTCCAGCATTAATACTACCTAATGCTACGATCTTGCACATGTTACCTAATTGTCTGAGCCTAATATTTCCTTCCCCTGGGAAGGGGTTTCCTTGGTGTAACACTCACTCCTTCCCAAAAAAGGAAAAGTCCCTTCATTTAATTGGTGAGTTTGGGACATAAGGAAGCTGTTTGCACCAGCCCCTCCCTCTTTCCTTTTTCTTTGAGTTCTGACTGTTTGTAGGAGCCAGGAATTTCCACTACTTCCTGCCACATGGTGACAGAGGTCTGTCTGTTTTGATTTATGGGTGGGAACTGCAGTGGACCAGCATGGTTTGTAAAGGCAAAAGTTGCTGTAACTCATTATTAGAAGGCCACAGGTTTATGCCATATTATAAATAATAGCTTCACAAAACTGATATGTGTTTCCCATAGACCCTATTTTTTCCCCTCTCAATTGGTTTAATTGGTTCTCAATTGGACAGGAGAGAAAATACTGTGTTCAGTATCCATCATGCTGGGCCAGAAATCTGAGACTGAGACTGAAATACCACATGGTGAGTCTTTACTTTAGGCCAGGATACAGGAATTTAGACTTCAGTAAGCACATAGCTTTGACGTTGACAACCTAGAGAGGCTACCTTGAGCCGCACAGCTCTTGCCTACAACTCGGTATTTATTTAGCTTTCAGCTGACCTTACCAAAGTAGAAGCTTTAGGCTTCAGGCACAGCCATATGGGACTTTTCACCTTGGTGGTTCACATCAGCTTATGGCAACTTTGTCCACAGTGAGCGGCTGTCTCTATAGAGACAGAGCTGCAAGTACGAGAGCTTTGGAAAAACAGTACAAATGCCTCAGGAAAAATACTGTGTGCTGTGGGGTGTTAGTCACCGCAGCTTGACCTTAAACTAGAAGGTATGATTTTTCTAAGCAGTTGTAGCTGAGGTAAGGATTCCATTTTAGGATAAAGAGAACCTTTACATACTCAGCCTGTTAAGGCATTGGTAGGCAAAAAAATGATAATGATTGTTTTTTTAAATTTTGAGGCAGCTGCACTCCAGGTATGCTCAAGACATGAGGGAGAACTTGCCTTTAAATGATGAATGTCAAACCTAGGTGAAAAATGCAAGATCTGGCTGCCCATATTCTAACCTGTTTTCTGGACCAAGGAGCAAACTTGAATGATTTTGCTCATTGGATAGCCTTGAATATACTTAGCTTGTCCAAAGGCTAATGTTTTGAAATACTTGAAGAGTTGCTGAATGAATTTCAAGGAGGTGTAGTCATCTTGGGGGCATTCAGATACTTTCTATGCTAAAAGGGGGCTGTGAGTGTTTTTTAAGAATGTCACACACTGTTTGAGATAATTAGTACCTTCCTAGTTCTGCATTACTGCACTAAAATAACCGATAAATTCTATCTCCATTAAAGCAGGAATGGATAGCCTTGAATACATGTAGCTTGTCCAAAGGCTAAAGTTTTAAAATACTTGAAGAGTTGCTGAATGAATTTCAAGGAGGTGTAGTTATCTGAGGGGCATTCAGGTACTTTCTATGCTAAGAGGGGCCTGTGAGTTTTAGAGAAAGAAAGGGACAGATTAAAGCAGTAAGTTAAACCATTACAGAAACAGTGGATTGGTTGTAAAAAGAAACGAGAAATGCCAGAGCTGTCTCCCACTCCTGCAAGAAAAGGCATAGCAGAAGGAAGTGCTACTTAGAGCCTGGGTTATTGAAGCAACACAGCAGAAAATTTGGTCCTTGTTACACTCCAGAACTTTGAAATCATCTACAGCAGCTGCTGAGCCATTTATTCTCCAGTGGAAATGAAAGACAGGGGATGAGGAAAAACTGTTGCACGGCAGGTGGGATTCACAGACTTAACTCCATAGAGAGAGGAGTGGCAGCAGCATGTGATGAGTGACCAGAGACACCCCAATGAGGCCAGACCACTGAGAAGAGCCCACCCCTAGGTCAGCATTATGCTCAAAACCATGGGCTTCCAAAATGAAATGAAAATGAAGACCTAGGGAATAGGCAAAATAGTAATAAAAGCACTTCAGATAAGACCTGGTTACTTGACGGTCACCCTGGCAAATTGCTCAACTTTGCATAAATGTAGCAATGCCTCAAATGCTACTCCCCCTGAGAGAGAAAAATGGCATGCACGGAGGTCTATCTGTCCCAACTTCAGTCATGGTAAATGCCTTGGACCAAAATTAAACACTTGATGGGTAATTTCTTCCAACTCAGTTTAAATTTACCAGTTTGGGCTCTAAACAACTGGGATGTATGAAAAGGGCAAAATTTGAAATTGTTTCCTCCACCTACCTGCTTTTCTTTAGAAACTGTTGAGCATTTTCCCTGGTCTTAGACAATGCTGAGAATGGAGTTCTCAGAAAATAATTTTGTCTGGATTAACTCTTCTCCGAATTGGGGATTCTTGTTTCTAAATTTGGAGATGGGCAGCAGAAGAGTGGACTTCGGAACTTCCTGCACTTATGTCTTGGCTTGTTCCTAAACCAGCTGAAGCATCTTGGGCAAGTTCCTTAATTTCCAGGCTTCAATTTTTTTTTCATCAAAAATGAGAATAACACTACATAAAGAGTTAATGTAGTTATAGCTAAATAGCATAATACATAGAAAAATGTCTAGAACAGAATTAGTGACTAGATATTACTATTATTATTAGCTTTTTGTCCTCTTTAATAAGTAGGTACATCGAAGAACTGATGTAAAACTAATGTAGTTTCTGAGGCTTTAAAGGACTGAGTTCAGTAAGAGACAAGTTGGCTTACAGCTGCCGCGGCTGTCCCAACCTCGCCTGAAGCCCATCTAGCTGAGGCAGAGCAGCATAAGTGGTTGGGGAAAAGGGACTTTTGGCTTTTATTTTCTTGGTTTTTCACTTATCAGGGCAAGGGAAAGGAATCTATCAGCTTTAACTATGCCCTGCAAATGTGATAATGGAAGGGAAGTTATATCCATACGTAAGACATCCCTTTGTTGACATTTTGTCATTAAAGTGTGATAATGTTGTCATCCAGTCTTACTGCAGAACTTCGAAAGTCTGTTTGAAGATATGGCTGGGCATGGTTTGGAGTAGCAAGTAGAGCAGGAAATAGAATACAGAATAGGGAATGGATTTTCTGCCTTAGAATGTGGGTTTAGAACTAATTTGATTAACGATTTGTTCTGGTTCATTTCAAACTCCTTTGAAGTTAAATAATAAACTGTCCACCCATGATCCTAAGAGGATGCACAAAGGGACAGTGCTGAGAACACAAGTGTCCTAAAAAGCCACTGATTTTCTTCCTGGAGATGGTCATTCATGCACTGAGTTTTTAAGCCTTGTGGGTTTAGAAAATAAAAAACTCGAGAGGTTAGTGAACGAATGCTTCTCCCCTGCTCTTGGTGCCTCCCTCCTTGTGAAGGGAGCTCTGCAGTGAGTCACCTCTGGCCTCTCACTCGCCAACCAAGGGTGGTGAGCATGGGATAAAAAACTGTGAATGTGCCATCCAGACACCTGCTTATCTATTTCTCTTTGGAATGGGGTTGCCCGAGGAGCCATTTCTGCTCAATATTCTGCCAGAAAGTGAAAGAGACCACTCTGGTGATCCCCCACTTCCTGTGACTGAGTAAGAAAATCTCGGCTGGGAGCAGTGGCTCACACCTGTAATCCCAACATTTTGGGAGGCCAAGGCAGGCTGATCACCTGAGGTCAGGAGTTTGAGACCAGCCTGGCCAACATAGTGAAATCCTATCTCTACTAAAAATACAAAATTACCCGGGTGTGGTGGTGGGCGCTTGTAATCCTAGCTACTCGGGAGGCTGAGGCTAGAGAATCACTTGAACCCAGGAGGCAGAGGTTGCAGTGAGTGGAGATCACGCCACTGTACTCCAGCCTGGGCAACAAGTGCAAAACTGTCTCAAAAAAAAAAAAAGGAAGTCAGCTGGGGCCCCAGCCATGATACCACATTACAGGAAGGACTCGGGGACTGGGACAGGGAATAACAACTGAAGGACAAGAAAGCTGTGTTCCAGCCAGCTCCTAAGGAACTTTCCTGAGAGCCACACTCAAGAAGTTCCATGCCATGTCATTGACAACCCCTAGACACAAAGATAGCTGAAAATGTAGTCACTATGTTAAGCACAGTGACACCCCAAATAAACTTGGGTTCTTATTGGAGACTGTGGGAAAATAAATGTTGCATAAGCAACCATAAGTCTCTGCCAGGGAGCCCTTAGCGGAAGCCTGAGGGAGGTTTTGAGAGGCTTTTGTTTTTCTCCTAAAGGAGAAAAGTTGCAGCCTGAAGAGAGGCCCTTGTCCTTTTCTCTCCTAGCTTTGAAAGTGGGTTGACACCAAGAGGTGGAATGGCCATCTTGCAACCCAGAAATGAACATGGGGAGGAAGGATAAATGCCAAATAAGTCACAGAGGTTTCTGGTCTTGCCATTGCTGAGCCATTGAGCCAACACTAACAGCTACTTACCTTCAATGATCTTATTGTGTGAAAAACTTTTATGTGTTAATTCACTGGTGTATTAGTCCATTCTTGCATTGCTACAAAGAACTACCTGAGACTGGGTAATTTACAAAGAAAAGAGGTTTAATTGGCTCACGGTTCTGCAGGCTGTACAGGAAGCATGGCTGAGGAGGCATGGCGGAAGGCCAAGGGGAAGGAGATTCATCCTCCGTGGGTGGAGCAGGAGGAAGAGAGCGAAGCGGGAGGAGCTACACACTTTTAAACAAGCAGATCTCATGAGAACTCACTCACTATTATGACAACAGCAAGAGAGAAATCCATCACCCCCCACCAGGCCCCTCCTCCGATATTGGGGATTACAATTAGACATAAGATTTGGGTGAGGACACAAATCCAAACCATATCAACTGGAGTCACATATTTTGCTGCCCTATAAGCAAATATATTCATAACTGATATAAATCTTAAATATCAGTCATTTGGTTTGGTTTTAGCTTCCTTTCTGTGTGTGTGTGTGTGTGTGTGTGTGTGTGTGTGTTGGTGGAATGTGTTGAAGGAATTAGAGCCTGTCATTTTTCTCACAGAAAAGATAGGAAGTTTGTGAGATAATGTCAATATAAAAGCTTTCCAAAGGATCAAAAAGATTTCTAGAATTCACTTAATCCATTTCCATATCTACATTGTCTGTATTTTCTAAAGAAAATATCTTCAGACATACTTCCCATCACTTCAAAGCTCATATACATGACCAGAGATTTTTAGTATTTAATTAGCATCTTGCTGAATTATAAGTCATTTCCCCTTTGTCCTGGCCTCATTGAATAGGGTGAACAGATGTTCTACTTCCCTTGACAAAATCTTTTCACTCCTCAATGGCTGTAATTAAATGCCTCTTCAGTCTTCTCATCTGGACAAATTAATTCAATTTCTTGAAATCTGGACCCTAACGGACTAACACTTGCACCTTTTTGGTCACCACTGTTGTACCTCTCTGGACTCATTTCAAGTTCACTGCATCTTACTTCTGTAATTTGTCAGATGCCAGGAAGAAATATAAAAATAAAGGCCCAGAATTGGAAGTGGGTCATCTCAATCTCCTTTCCTGATATTCTAGCCTCGAAAATATTCCTCACCCATCAACATTGCTGATAAGGTTAGATACGTCTTATTTGTTTGAGGAAGTTCTAGCTATATACTGAAGTCATCTGGAGAACTTTTAGAGAATATTCATGCCTGGGTCCCATTCACAACAATTTTGATTTCATTGGCCGAGAGCAGGGTCTCAGCATTGTTGTTCCGTGAAAGTTTTCCAAATGCATCTAATGCACAGCCAGGCTTGAGAACCAGAGAGCTATTTCCTCCGGCTATTCTTTACATTTCAGTATCTCCTGTCTCCATTTTGTTTCTGCTCCGTAAATCTTCTCACAAACTCTTAGGAACTTGCTCTCCATGGCTTTACCCTGTCTGTATACAAACATGCTCACTTCTTCCCCACCTGTAACAAAATTAACAAAGCAAACAAACAAACTAAAAAAATGTTAGCCTTCTGCCGTGAGAGCGCCTCTAGCTAGCCTGTCTTTATTCTTAATAGCCAAGTGCTTTGGCTTGAATGTTTCTCCCCTCCAAAACTCAAGTAGAAATTTAGTTTTCATTCCAACAGTATTAAAAGGTGGAACCTTTAAGTGATCAGCCCATGAGGGCTCTGCTGTCTTAATACCCTTTAAAAAGTGTGAGTTCAGCCCTGTGAGTTTAGCCCCCTTTCTCTGTTTGCATTTTCATCTTCTGCCATGTGAAAGCGAAGCTTTCCTCCCCTCTGGAGGATGTAGCATTGGAGGCACTATCTTGGAATCAGAGTTGGCAGACCTGCTGGTGCCTTGATCTCAGACTTCCCAGCCTCCAGAACTGTAAGCCAACAAGATTTTGTTCACTATAAATTACCCAGTCTGTGATATTCTGTTATAGCAGCACAAAAGGGACTAAGACACCAAGCTTCTGGAAAAGTCAACCTACACACACCCTTTGTTCATCTTTTATTCATTCCTCAATCCACCTGGCTTTTAAAATGTATCTTCCTATCCATGCTGAAAACTATTTCAATCATCAAGGTACTGAATCTAAAAACTACTTCTTGTTTTTATTTTACTTCACTTCTCTGCAACTGTTGACATTATTGTCCCACACTCTCCTGTCTAAAACACTTCCTCCTCTTGTCTTTAAAATGCTACTCTTTTTACCTGCCTGTCTTTCCCATTGGTCTGCTTTGCCCAATAACGTTCAAAATGTTGGTGTACCCCAGGCACCATGCTAGTCTCCCTCTAAAATTTCTAAACACTCTCCCTGAGTAATCCCAATCTCCTCCTTTCTTCAGTCTTCTTGTTGATGTGTTATAAATCTATATATCTCAGCTCCAGCTTCCTGAGTTTCAGATCCATGCATCCAACTACTTTCTGGCATTATAATATCTAGCAGGTACTTCAAGTTTGATATGTACAAAACATAATTGTTTTCTCCTCCACACCAAACCTACCTGGTCCTGTATTCTCTTGTCTTTAATTAATTCCATTGTCTTTATTAGTGGTACCACTAATTACCTAGAAACCCCAAGAATCACCTTCAGCCTTCATTTGTGATCTCCTCCCATATGTTGGACACCAAGTCTCTTTAATTCTACTTCTAGAAGATCTCTTGAAATTTCCCTCCACTGCTCATGCCTTAGTCCAAATTCTTAACTCAAAAATTAACATATATAATAGTTTCTAATTTGTCTGTAATCCGTTTCCACAGATGCTAGAATTATCTTCATAAAATAAAAATTTGATTACATTACAACCCAAAATAAAATACTTCAAATGCTCTTTATCTCTTATAGTACCTCATTCACTCATTCAGGAATTTTTGTAATTTAGCCTCCTCCTATCTTTTTATTTTCACCTTCTGCCCCTCTCCCAGGTGCACTGAAATTATTGGAGTTTTCTGAACAAATTCATGTCTCCTATCTCAGCACATTATTATTCCATTGCTAGGAATGTCACTAGCCAAAGTCTATCTAACAAACCCCTCCTTATCTTTTATGGATGATAAGCTCTCTCAGGGCCATCTCATCTTTACTGTACTTACAGCCCTCTGCATAGTATCTGGAACACAGTAGGTACCCACTAAATATTTACTGTGTGAAATCTTTTCTGTCTGCCTACATCCCACTTCAAGCAGAGTTAGATCTAATAGTTGTGGTCTCATAGCAACATGTACATACAGCTATAATATAATAGTGTTCATCCCATTAGATTGTAATTACTTATTTGTCTGCATCCTCTACTGAACGATGAGCTCTTTGATGGAAGAGGATGTGTTATGTTTGCTTTTGTATTTCTACCATTCAGCAGTGTCTAATATATTGCAGATACTGCTGATTTTTGGCAAGTTCATTAATACATTCATAGAAGTGATGAGATGGGTAAATTGAATTGAGAACTTAAAAACTAAAGATTGTGCAACTTTCAAAAAGTGAAGAGATACCCAGACATCAAACTATCTTTGTAATGTATATATCATAAGGTTTGAGTGTATACATATTAGAAAGATGAAAATTGTTTACAAAAAGAAAATTACAAGATAAATTTTCATTTACATATAATGAGTGTGAAAATATATTTCTGGTATTCTAACAATATATACTATCATTCTCTTTTTGTCTCTTATTTAGGAAGAGAAATAAATAGTTTCATGACTCAATTTTGGCGTAGCTCTATGAAGAAGTTTAGCAAATAGTTTCTGGAGTTGGAATTCCTGGGTTTGAATTCCAACTCTACCGCTTAGGATCTTGGGAAAATCATTTAATCTGTGCTTTAGTTTACTCATTTGTAAATTTAGAGTTGTTATAAGGGTTAAGTAAGATTATACACATAAAACATTTAGAACAGGGCCAGATAGAGTTAGCACTTGAGTCTCTGATTCATAACAGCCAACAACCTATTTCTATAAATCATAAATTACTTTGCCTGTGACATGAAAGACATGTGACGTATTGTTGGCATTAAGAAATGGCCTCAGTTTGGAGGATCAAATTAATTTTCCAATAGAATTTACAGATTTTATAAGAAATACACAAGTGGTTTATCTACCTGAAATTTGTAAACAGGGTAATTGATCCAGTTATAACTATGTTGTTGGGACTCTGTATTTGTACATTACCACTGATATCTGTGTGCTAGCAGAGATTTGAATTTTCTGTTCTGTCTCCTGAAGAGCCCCTGACTGACAGAACATTTGAATACTGTGATTATATGGATCCAGTGATCATATGAATCACTGGATTTGTTTCATTTTTATCACAAATAAATGAAAGAGAAAGGATCGTAGAACGTTAGGATCCTAGAATTCTAGAAGCCGTCTTAAAGACTATGTTCTATAAAACTTCATTTTACAGATGAGAACATTGAAATTTGAAAGGTTGGATAATTTCATGAGATCACATGAGTGGGAAGACAGGGTTGCAATGAGTCTTTGGCTGGACTAAAAGGAATTCACATAAACAGATGAATTAGCTAGACAAAGTGAGACTTAATTTGTCAGTGTGGCTGATGAGAAGGGGGTGCTTCTTAAAGCTTTGTGAGAAACCCCTCAGTTGCCTTCCTAAAGAGAAAGGCATTCCATTAGTATAAGTAAAGGAAGATAAGATGTATCTTGTAAAGTATAGAAGGTTTGTCACGAGAACATTTTGTAAAGATAGAAGTTTCAGGTGATTAACAAGAAGTACTAGATAAAGTGAGTAGAAAAATTAAGAATCAGTACATACGTGATCCCAGACTTGCTGTGGGATGAAGGTGGTCTGATTCACCTCCACATGATGTGAGCTTTCTGCTCTGCCTAATGGCCAGGTGTATTTATGTGGTGGAGGCAAAGACATTCCACGACTATAGGGAGATAGCTCCTTTAAAGCACATGCTCCACTCTATTCTACTGCCTTACTCACCAAGTGAGTTTTTGATAGTTATTTTATTCTCCAGGAAAGACTTTCATTCTTTGAATAGCATTATCTGATGAACTGACATAAGTATTTCTTTTCTTTTCTTTGTTTCTTTTGAGACAAGGTCTTTCTCTGTCACTCAGGCTGGAGTGCAGTGGACCAATCACGGCTCACTGTAGCCTCGACCTCCTAGGCTCAAGTGATCCTCCCACCTCTCCATCTTTCGAGTAGCTGGGACTACAGGCATGCGCCACCACACTTGGCTATTTTTTTTTTTTTTTTTAGAGATGGGGTCTTACTGTGTTGCCCAGGCTGATCTCAAACTCCAGGGCTCAAGCGATCCTCCCACCTTGGCCTCCCAAAGTGCTAAGATTATAGGCGTGAGCAACTGCACCCAGCAGTATTTGTTTTCCCTTACCAGTTACATGTCTGGGATGGAGTCACACATTATTGCAGTGGATGCTATGGCATGCTACCAAGACCTGCCCTCCACAGCAAAACCAAAGCAATCATTCTCCCAGTTGCCAGGAATGTTGACAGCTGGCATCTCCCAGCTAAGTCATTCTTTGGGATTTTCTTTTATCGGAAGAGAGTCACCCTTCCCACCTCTTTTCTGGGAAACCTACAGCTAAGAGAAGAATATAATTGCTTAGCCCCCATATATAAAAGAGCATCCTTGCTCCAGAGCTTCCTGTAACACCAGCTAAAGACCTTTTTTGGTGACTTCATTACATTCAAACTTTTTTTCTTCCCACTCTTACTTTCTTCACTCCTCTGCAAATGTGTTGAGAGAACTCTTCAATAAATTTCTTGCACACAAGTCTCTATTTCAGAGTCTGCTTCCTAGGAAGCCTGAGGCAAATATACAAATCAGTTTCCAATAGGTTTACAGGGATTTAGAACCAACGGCGTGATCATCTCTGCAAATACTGTTTCTGAACCTATCAAAATGAAGATCAGATCCTTAAAAGGTGGTGACCTTATCAAGTTTCAATAGATATTTATTGCATGAGACTTCCGAATATTTATTGTTTGAAGTTCTCTCCTGCCATTCACCTTTTTCCATTACTAGTACTCTAGCTTTTGTTTTGAGATCCACTGCTGTATCAGTGGGTGGGGCTGACCACCTGCAGTTCCAGGACCAGGTGTAAGAAACAGAGCTGAGACAATTGTTATATTCTATTATTTGCAAGATGATTACTTCAAGGATGAACATCTTAGCCAAATTGGACCAATAATATTCAGACCAAGAACATTCCTTCACTCACTTCGTAAAAGAGAAGTCTTTCTTTCCACGGCTGTTAAGCATGTAAGAATGTAGATTTTGGGAGCCATGCCACTTCCATGCAAAGCTTGAGACTAAAACCAACATAATAGAGACCAGATAAGAGATAGAAAAGATCACATTCAGAGATGGCTCTATTTATGTGCCTGAATCAAATTGTACAGATGAATCTTACCCTTAGCTTTCCAGTTATGAAAGTGAATAAATTATTTTGGTTTAAGCTAGTTTGAGTGAGATTATTCTGTCACTCATACTAAAGAGTCCCACTGATAGACAAGTTATAGACATTCTATGAGGTTTAGCTAGAAAGAGACAAGGAGTATTTTAGTTTACTATCGTTTAAATTTAACGTAAATCAGCTGAGCCACTTATAGACTGATCGGTCAATTGAAATATGATATATGATGTTTTGAGGTTTCATTTTACTTTCCCCAAGTAAGATAGACCAAAATTTAATGTATAATGATTTAGTTAAATGATGGTAAATGCTTTCATTTCAATAACTGTGAAGAAATTATGAAAAGTGAACATTTTTAATAATTGGAAAGGCCCAGGCCATTCCAAATCTATGATTAACTCATCAGCTACACCAGAGATTGAAAATGCGTATGTCTACAAATGCCAGGAAGATATCATAAAAGAACAGAGTACGTCTGGTATCAAATAATAATAAGTGGGTAAGATCTAGGACAAACTGGAGATGAGATAGCCTATTAGAATCATCTGGAAATAAAAGCCCAACATAGCCCAATATTTTAAATGTTTTCAAGAGAAGACAAGTCCATATTTTAGGCAAAATTCTCTCGATTTTTAAATGTTGGTAATGAGAAAGTGAAAAGTGGCTCTGCTGACAACCAGATAACAATGTTCCCAAAAGATCACAAATAATGCTCAAAACAACACAAAGATAAGTTCACTCCATAGTTACGTTTAGAGAAAGACAGATAAGGCCACCCTGTGACACAAACATGACTCAATATCCCCCTCTTCTGACTAACATCACCAGTGTGAGTGGATACTGCTTCTATAACAATACCTCTAAACCCACTTTAATACTCTCGCCTCTTAGATAAAACTCATTCAGATACCCTATCTCTGCATTGACCTACCTTCTTAGTATAAGTAAAGGAAGATACAATGTATCTTGGAAAGTATAGAAGGGTTTGTCCTAAAAACTTTTTTTTTTTTTTTTTTTTTTTGACTGAGTCTCGCTCTGTCGCCCAGGCTGGAGTGTAGTGGCGCGATCTCGGCTCACTGCAAGCTCCGCCTCCCGGGTTCACGCCATTCTCCTGCCTCAGCCTCTTGAGTAGCTGGGACTACAGGCACCCGCCACCTCGCCCGGCTAATTTTTTGTATTTTTAGTAGAGACGGGGTTTCACCGTGTTAGCCAGGATGGTCTCCATCTCCTGATCTCGTAATCCACCCGCCTCGGCCTCCCAAAGTGCTGGAATTACAGGCGTGAGCCACCGCGCCCGGCCAAAAACGTTTTGTAAAGATAGAAGTTTGGGCTGATTAACAAGAAATAATAGATAAAGTGAGTAGAAAAATTAAGAATCAGTACATATATGATCCCAGACTTGCTATGGGAAGGAGGTGGTCTGATTCACCTCCTACCTTCTTAGCGGTCTGAAATCTAATACTAGTCTCCGTGTCCTAATCCCTCCTCAAATCATCTAACATAAGCCCCAACGCTAAAAGACCCCTTTAACAACTCCCTCCTGAAATGCTCCTGGGGTTTCCCCAAAGTGAGACCACTCTTTCTGAAACAATATAAGTAAAACTATTTTTTTTTTTCACTACAGATGTGTTCCTGGTAGTCTCTGATCCACTGGTTTGACAACAAGTAATTTAAAAAAATTTTTGAAAACACTGACCTCTGAGCTAGATCTAGGCTATAAACATCTACCTTTTAATCTCACTTAAGGTGTGATGGTTAATTTTATGTATCAACTTGACTGGGCCATGAGGTGGCCAGATATTTAGTTGAACTTTATTCTGGGTGTGTCTGTGAGGCTGTTTCTGCATGCAGTGAACGTTTACAGTGGACCGAGTAAAGCAGACAGCCCTCCCTTACGTGAATGGGCCTCATCCAGTTAGTTGAAGGTTTGAATAGAACGAGAAAGTTGAGTATGGGGGAACTCCTTCTGACTAACTGCCTTCAAGCTGGGACATTGATTTCCTCCTGTTTTTTGGACTTGAATTAAAACATTGGCTCTTCCTGGGTTTTGAGACTTGGATTTCAGACGGAACTATGTCATTGGCTCTCTTCGCCCTCCAGCTTAATTGTGTGAGCCAATTTTCTACAATAAATCTCAATCTCTCTCTCTCTCTCTCTCTCTATATATATATATGTATCTAAAATTTAAAATATTTTAATTAATATGTTCATCAAATTTAAAAATATTCATATGTATTTATATATTTATGACATATATGACATCTATATGTCTACATTATCTCTCTCTATATATATATATATGTCTCCCTATATGTCTATATCCTATCGGTTCTGTTTCTCTAGAGAACTGTGGCTAATACAGAAGCAAAAGGGTGATGTAATATCAATGGGCAGATTTTCCCATTTTCTTACATCATTTTGTGTTTTCTTTCCAGTAGATTAAAGAGGGGTGGAAAATTACAAAATCCAGTGCATGCCACTTAAATTAAAGTTGCGACCATTTTTATTCGTGCCAGGAGGAAGGACTTTATTCTCCTTGATTTGAGCAAATCCATTATCGGAGCTTTCAATTTCAGGCATTCCAAATTTAGGTCCACTTGAGGCTGGGATGACTGCTATGTCTGAGAGGGCTTCTTTCTCTGCAGCTTCTTAAAATGCAAGAACAGAAATCAGGAAACATTAGAGAGACCAACAAAATGATTCAGATATTTATGTAGGTAACTAAGATGCTGTTGCTTTTCTTGACTAGAATTTCATTATAGCTTCATTAGGCAAAGAGACTCTATTCCTAATAGTGCATCTGATCAACAGAAATGCAACTAGCAAATCAAAAAATGTATGAAAGACAAATAAATGGCTTCCCAGGCTGAGAAGAGCCAAACAGGTTTAACTGTGGGTGATTTTGGAGGCCTGGATAGTGGCTTCCCTGAATCCCTAAGCCTAACTTTTCTCTAATTTACCAGAAGTGAGAAACAAATGCATACCCAGACGGCTCCTCTCAACAGCAGGCACCCAAGCCTAAACCCAGATGGTTCATCACTATGAATGACTGTTCTCGTGCTTGTTCAGTAAAAAGACAGAACACGAGGCCCGTGATATGATCAGCTGCACATCAACTCAGACATGCTTCTACACAGGATACCAGGAAGGTGAGGGAGTTGTACTTCTGCTTCTTCCATCTACGGTTGCCAACCTGCACTAAGGGATGTTTGCTAGAATGAAGCTGAGCTAAAGTAGAGTGTGTCTTGCTGGAGACAGGTCCTAGTCTGCCCTGAGGGTCTTTTAGCTAAGAGAGCATTGCTGCCCCCTCCTTTGCCTTATCTATCCTTTTGACCATTGTTCCTGCCTCTGAATTGCCATTTTGACCCCAGACACGGTCACATTCTTCTGCCTCCTCAACTTGTCTAGGCACCATACCCTCTACCTTCTAAACCTCACATTTGCCTCCTGGACTACCACACTGCCATCTCCACCAATTCAGTTACTGCTTCCCAAAATAAGAATATTTGACCTTCTTCTCTTTTCCACGACCTCTGATTTTACTTGGCAACCAAGCCACGGTTTGTTAGAATTTGGTCACGAACAAGTATTTACACAAAAATTCAACTTCAGGGAACTAAACATGTTTTAGATGGCAAGGAATCTAGAAGTTGCGAGTCAGTCCAGAGCTGATGAAACTGCTCAAGGAAGTCATCTGGAACCAGATTCTTTCTAGCTTGCTTCTCCTCCATCATCCTTAGCTTGTGGTTTCTGTTTTAATGATCTCCAGGATGACTACTCTGCACCCAAGCAAATTTTAATTCCAGAACAGAAAAAAAAAGAAGGAAAAGAAGAGAGAAAGGATGAAGGACAGGTAAATGAAGCAAATGCTACCTGGCTACCTGGCTGCACCTACTAATAATGCACTTACCCTGCTCCTTTTCAACCATTATTTAATATTTAATCAGGAGCAATACTAACCCCTATTCAGAAAGGAGAACAATGGAAGTCACATAGGAGAGACAGTGCCAAAGTCAACACCAAACACCGCCAGGCAGGAAAACTCAGGACTCCTGTGTTCTGTCAGAGGTGCTGTCCTCGGTTACCCATTCTGGCATCCTCCCGTCCTGCTTCTGGGGAGATTATTCCTTGTCTCTTTTCATCCATGGCCACATATGAAATGGGTATTATAGAAGATCACTTCCTTTGAAGCCACAGATATTTTTGGCCCACTTCCTATTGGTCTTAATTTGAGGAAAGGAATAACCTTAGAGGTTTAACAATGACAGGCTCTTATTAGCCTCCGGCAATACAATGTCCTCAAAAGTTTACAGAATTTCCAGTGTTGGAATAATTTCTCAATTAATTCCATATGTGAATAACCACAGACAAAGATTTCACTTAGATATGGTATTTAGCTAGAAGATTCCTTTCCTTTACCTTCTGATATGGTTTGGCTGTGTCCCCATCCAAATGTCATCTTATACTGTAGCTCCCATAATCCCCACACGTTGTGGGAGGGACCCGGTGGGAGGTAACTGAATCATGAGGGCAGGATTTCCCTTGTTGTTCTCGTGATAGTGAATAAGTCTCACGAGATCTGGTGGTTTTATAAGTGGGAGTTCCCCTGCACACGCTCTCTTTCCTGCCACCATTTAAGATGTGACTTTGCTTCTCCTTTGCCTTCTGCCATGATTGTGAGGCCTCCCCAGCCATGTAGAACTGTGTGAATCCATTAAATCTCCTTTATTTATAAATTACCCAGTCCTGGGTATGTCTTTATTAGCAGCGTGAGAACAAACTAATACACCTACTGATCTCTGGGTTGTTCCCGGTCCTCTGTTCCATAGCTTAATGGCCAATGCCTTGAGGTCATTCAAAATAATGATGGAGAGATAGCAAGTGTAATACCACTGTGCATTTGTCTAAAGAAATCCAAAGAGCCTGGATGGAAAAGTCTTAAGTTACCAATCTATGAAGGCTCCAGGCTTCCTGTCACTGTCCTTGCCTGCTCAGTTTAGTAGGAATAAATTTCTTTTTTAAAACTCAGCAGTACCCAAAATATAGGATTGTCAGTGAATTTAGAATGCAGGCCACAGGTAAAGCATTGATCTCTCATTTCCTCTTGCAGACTGGCTAACTTGGATCGAAGTACAGACCACTCCTTCAGAAAAAAAAAAAAAAATCTATAGCCATATGCCAGGGTTCTGAATTTTTTTCCACTATTTATCCTAATAGCAAAGCTGCCACGGCACATGGTCTGTATCCCAAAGAACAGCGGGTGACAATCTGACCAAATGTTCGGCCACCACATAAGAAGGGTCACCAGATTTGCAGCCTGAAATACCTGAGACCTCACTATCCAAAGCCCCACCTCTTCCACTCAGCCAATTCCACATTTTTGAATCTTATTTGCTGCATCCTCTTTCAGGTAGAAAGTCCACTTCAGGTATAATGCATTCAGCTGCAGCTACTAAGTAAATCTGCCGGAATACAGTGCCCTATAACGCAGCTCACAGAAAGGTGTTTGAATGCAGATTTGCCACTGATAATTCCATCATTTCTTACACTCCAATCATGATATTGTCCATGAAGAATAGCTTGGGTACATGATCTAATTTATTCCTCACAATATTGATATGGGACACAACTATGATATACATGGGTATATGATAAGATATGGGTATATTATCATCCCCATTTTACTGATGAGTAAATTGAGGCTCAGAGCCTAGGTACTTTGCTCAGGTTCTCACATTTGCTAAGTTGTGGAGCTGAGATTTGAACCTAGATCCGAGTGACACAGAAGTTGGTTCTTTTTATTATTTAATCACTTTAATCATTTAATCTATTATTGAGGTAAAACTGCACCACAGAGGACCAAAAGGAGAACTACAGTGCAAGTCCAGGTGCCTGTAGCCATGGCACAGCTGTGGCATAGTTGTTCCAATGTGGTAACCAGATGTGTCCTTCTGGTTGTCTTGGTACGGAGCCACAGCTCCAGTACTGAGTCACAGCCACATGCAGATGCCACCACAGAACATGTGATATTTTAGATCTGAGTTGACAGTTTAACATGTAAACATTATCAGAAAATAATGAGTCAGGCTCTCCCGAGCCATATGCTTCATCTCAGAGCCAAGGCTGTGTCATCACTGTCAAATGCTCCTTCAGGCCACTAAATCACCACAGTAAGATCATAGCTTCAGGACCTAAGTAGCTCCTGGGGATGGGAAAGAGATGACTGACTGAGGTGGTTGATGGGATTCTTACAGGTAAGTCAAATGGGTTTTTTCACTTGCATCACCTTGGGGACCCATTCAGCAGTGCCGTTGGTGGAGGCTGAGAGACCAGGTCCTCTAAAATTGTGACACCTGCTCTCTTTGAAAATGAGGCACTCTCTCAGTTTAAATATTTTGTTAATGTTTTTCCCCTACAATTCCCTTCAATTAAAAGATGATGTATGGCATTCATGGGATAAATGAAGTTGATGCATTGTGAGCATTTCGTGACCTCTCACACCCTGAGGGGTCCAAGTGGGGCTGGAAGTCTGCAGGGAGGCATACCTTTATTCAGGGCTGAGTCATGTTGTTTGCAAGGGCCCTAGAGCCAAGTGTGTTGAAGACACAGACACCTGAGGGGCACTAGCTCCGCAGACACCTGGACTTGCCGGTGGATCTTTCAGAGGAGGAGCTAGGCAGGGTTCTTTCCTTCCAAATGAAGTAAAAGCATGAAAAAGAAGAAAGGGAAGTGTCTGCTTCTGGACACTAGTGATAAAATTGGTTTGAGGGTGTTGCTACTTGGAAATACCAAGACATCCAGGCACCTGCTCTCACCTGCTGTGCCCTGTGTCTTCTGTTTTTTTTTGCAGACAGAGCAGCTTTATCTGAATCTGGCCTTGTCAAGTGATTAGATCACGTATTTAGTTTTTGTCTCATCAATTGATGATAAACTTGAAGAAGGCAGAGGGGTGTGTGTGTGTGTGTGTGTGTGTGTGCATGTGTGTGTGTGTGTGCATGCCCGTACATGGTGTGTTTATTTCCTGCAGTCTCTAGGACAGCAACAGTGACTTTGCCATTTCATTTGTTGAAGTGGCCTAAAATATGATATATGGAAAAGTGGAAGAGACCCATAATCCTCTTTCACTTTTGAAGTGATTTATGCGTTACAACACTAGATTGCAGAGCGGGCTAGAATTAGAAATGGATAGATTTTTGGGTAAAATACATATCTTGAACAGAGTTTTTATGCTGTATATATACACAAAGAGATATCTATAGAAAAAGACAGAGAGAAAATAGATGCAAATAGATAAAATTATGTATAAGTAACATTTACCACAAGTATGTTTAACTATTTCACACACAAAAATGAACACAATCACAGAAAATAGGAGAGACCTTAAGAAAATACAGTATCATCTAAAAGCTGTCCCTTTTGTTGGAGGAAGTGGAAAAGTACAGCTCCTTTTTCTTCGCAGTGTGCCCTTGAGGAAGGACAATGAATTTCTCCTTGTCTTCCTCTATATGATACAATGCACTGCCTTCAGTCTCTGTGATACAGATTTTATATTCATAGAATCTTCAATTTTAATGCTGTTATCTTTTCACCTTGCAGAGCTAATAGGAGTTAATACTATATCCCAGGTATAACTATACCTCTCTCTAATACCTGTATCCCTAGAGAGGAGTGTGTCCACTATGAATATTTAAAGGGTTGAATCGTATTTTTTAATGCTTAAGAAGATCTTGTCTCAGAGTATTCATTTATGAATCTTTTGGAAAAATGAATGATTAGTTATTGAATTATTACTTAAATATGGATTTGTATGTACTGGGTTTATTCGTAAATCATTCAAATATATAAGATAGTCCTGCAAGTTGAAACTCTAGTAGGATTTTACAAGATCAGGATGATCTTGTTAAAAAAAAGTCACGAAAAGTCACCAAGAGTGAAAGGTGACTCCAAGCAATAATGTATCTAGACATGGAAATATTTCAAAAGTCTTATTTCACCTATTCCTTAATACCAGTGCAATAAGGAGAGGTGGTTAATGCTCCTTTCATATTCAGTTAATTCTGCAGGACCGTGCTATAGGTTGAATAATTAGAAAATCCCTTTAACTACTGGGAAGTGAGGAGCGCCTCTGCCCGGCCACCACCCCGTCTGGGAGGTGTGCCCAACAGCTCATTGAGAACGGGCCAGGATGACAATGGCGGCTTTGTGGAATAGAAAGGCGGGAAAGGTGGGGAAAAGATTGAGAAATCGGATGGTTGCCGTGTCTGTGTAGAAAGAAGTAGACATGGGAGACTTTTCATTTTGTTCTGCACTAAGAAAAATTCTTCTGCCTTGGGATCCTGTTGATCTGTGACCTTACCCCCAACCCTGTGCTCTCTGAAACATGTGCTGTGTCCACTCAGGGTTAAATGGATTAAGGGCGGTGCAAGATGTGCTTTGTTAAACAGATGCTTGAAGGCAGCATGCTCGTTAAGAGTCATCACCAATCCCTAATCTCAAGTAATCAGGGACACAAACACTGCGGAAGGCCGCAGGGTCCTCTGCCTAGGAAAACCAGAGACCTTTGTTCACTTGTTTATCTGCTGACCTTCCCTCCACTATTGTCCCATGACCCTGCCAAATCCCCCTCTGTGAGAAACACCCAAGAATTATCAATAAAAAAATAAATTTAAAAAAAAAAAAAAAAAAAAAAAAGAAAATCCCTTTAACTAGAGTCCAGTGACAAAGTTCCCACTGGCGTGAGATTACTACTGGCTTTTGAGCTCTTTGAACTCAGAGGGTATGCCTGCCAATGTTCATATTTCTTTTCTTTTTCTTTTCTTTTTTTTTTTTTGATGGCTTTTTTCTCTGTTGCTCAGGCTGGCCTTGAACTCCTGAGCTGAAGCAATCCTCTTCCCTCAGCCTCACAAGTAGCTGGGACTATAACGCGTGTCACAATCCCTGGCTCATGTTCATACTTCAATCTTCAGCGTGGTGATTTAAATGTAATGGGTGCTCATTAAATATATTTTAATTTATATTTAATAAATATAAACAAGATTCATCATTTAAATAAGAGGGAAACTAGCATCAAAGCAACACGTCTGGCTATTCAAGAGAGAAACATCTCTTATTTCACTCTCTGAATTCTAAGTTGGAGGAAAGGGAACCGGTATGATCGAAAGAGGACAAGAGAGAAAATTCTCAGATTTATTTGGAAAGCGATTCTATTCATCTTATGTCGGATTCTTTAAGTGAAACTAGTTAAGTGAAAAGAGAAGGAAAACAGTGACTACAAGAGAATCAATCAGCAGATATTGAAAGACTTTCATGTAACTAATGGCATCTGCTTAGAAAATATGAATTGGGCCCAAAGTGGTATTCTTTTTGGTCACTTATATTGGAATTTAAATGTGTAACTAAAAATGAAATCTTTAGAGAAAATTTCATTTCTTAAGCTGAAATCTTTCCACAAGTTGGAGAAAAGAGAGATGTGCATCCGGGAAATCAAACTGAAAAGACAGGCTGAGCTTATAAATTGAGATTCCCCAATCAGAGGCCATACTTTTCTTTCCTAATTACTGTTCTTTTCCTTGGATCCTACATCCATCACTACATTAATTCCAGGCTTAACTTACAGCCAGCTCTTCTCCGTGGCCCATCTCAGCATAATGAACTTTTGCCATTATCTTGATCTTGTTAAATTCTCTCTAATCTTAACCTAATGAGATACAGTGAATGTGCAACCATAAATTAGATGTTCAGACAATCTCAGTTTGTTCTCAGTGCAGCAATCCTTTTAAATTACATCCATCACTCTTTTGCTCAAGCACACTTCATGGCTCCCTATTTTAGTAAAGTAAAAGAAAAAGCCCTTTCAATGGCCTTCACAGGCTGGTGTCTCTGTATTACTCCCCGTCCCTCCCCCTAGCACACATGGCTCACTCTCCTCCAGTCACACCAATGTCCTTGGGAAGTCTTCCACCAAGTCTTTGTTCAAATGACATCTTCTCAATCACCACTCTGTTTAGAAATAGAATCACCTCCTAACCCACACCCTTCTCTGCCCTATTTCTTCTCTCCAGTCCATTTATCACCTTTCAATATACTATACAATTTTCTTTTTTATTATTGTGTTTATTGCTTATTTTCTATTCCTCACACACTAGAATGGGAGCTTTGCAGGCATTTCTGCCATGCTTTTCATTGAGGTATTCTAAGGTCTTAGAACAGTGCCTGACGTATAGTTAGTAGTTACTCAATAGATATTTGTTGAGTGAATGAATGAGGAAAGGAAAGAATATGCCCAATATTCATGATCATTTATTAAGTGGTAACAAAAATAATGTGAAACGTAAGTTTAATTATATTTGCTTCTCTATACTTTGGACCACATGTCTATATGTTAGAATTAAGCATTCTAACGAGGCACTGAGATAGAGAGAGAAGAAATAGGCTTGGGAATCAACTACAGTGATGTTCAAATTGTAGTCCTGCCCCTTGCTAGCTATGGAAGACTTAAGTCAATTTCTGTGAGCTTCAGTTATCTCCTTTGTGAAACGGCGGTGTTATAAGTATTCAATGAAAAACAAGCACAGCTTTTGGTGCAACAGGCACATGATAACTGTGAGTTTCTCCTTTTGTCTCTCAGCCCCTGTCAGGCTTCAATTTGCAAAGCTCCATAGTGGATCCCTAAACCTCTCCACACAGGAAATTGTGCAGGAGACTGGGGGAAAGGTGACGAGGCAGGTATCAAATATTTTCTAGTTCTTTGCCGGAGGCCCTGGCCAGTGGGCATACTTTAGAATGAGGATAAACGAAAAGAGCACCTCTTACCCATGATTATGGTGGATGGAGTCAAGACCAGGCATGGACAAGATGCCAGTGGAGAGTGCTGGAGGGTGAGAACCATGGACACCTAAGTCAACATGTCATCAAAGCGAAAACAGCCTGAACCTGGAGTCAAAAGCCAAGTACTAAATCAAAGGATTAGCAAGATAAAGAGATCAAGCACAAGAAGGTTGGAAATGGCTAGAGGGAACATGGACTTGGTGAAGGCCATTGCCAGTGGCCAAGTGGCTATGTCCTGCAGCTGGACTGAAAGGATAGGATGCCATAAGGTGCTTCTGGAAGTCCCTTAAAAGTCCTGCACAGAGGCTGGCTGCAGTGGCTCACACCTGTAATCCTGGCACTTTGGGAGGCTGAGGTGGACGGATTACCTGAGGTCAGGAGTTTGAGACCAGCCTGGCCAACATGGTGAAACTCCATCTCTACTAAAAATACAAAAATTAGCCAGGCGCAGTGGCAGGCACCTGTAATCCCAGCTACTCGGGAGGCTGAGGCAGGAGAATCGCTTGAACCCGGGAGGCGGAGGTTGCAGTGAACTGAGATCGCACCACTGCACTCTAGCCTGGGTGACAGAGCAAGACTCCGTCTCAAAAAAAAAAAAAAAAAAAAAAGTCCTGCACAGAATGAACAGAAGCCACCGTGGTCATGCCAGGGCCTTCTCTGGACACCTGGGGACTTTTGCCTTGACTGACACTCTTCTGATATTTCTAAAGGAAGCTTTCAGCTTGGGAAAATTGTGGGCGGGGGTGGCGGAGGGGAAGAGGCAGGACTGGGGAATATTACTTCTCCTCTTCCTCGAGTCAGAGGGAGTATTACTACATACTCTGAAGCCAGAATAAACATTGAAGTGAAAAAATGTGTTAGCGTAAGTTTAATCCAGCCCTTCACTGTTTACATGAACACAATGAACAATCAACAGCAAGTCAGTAAATGAGTGTTTATTGAGCAAATGCTCTCAAGAGGCACAGCCGTGCTGCCCACCTTTCATGCAAGCAGCAGCACCAACTTTGACCTCTCAACTTCCCCATTAGGAGTGATTTTGACTGAGAAATTCCCTGAAATTTTTAAAAAACCAATGGGATATGTGGACTGCTACTAGATTTCTTTACCTTAGATATGAATATGACATCTTTCATATTTTAATAAGTAACTGACCTGTTAAGTTCTCTTAAAGGCATTTATGAAATTTGCTCTCAAAGGTGGTAAAACTAGACACTGACAAGCTGAAAAGGTAGGGCTCACGATACGGTTTGGCTGTGTCCCCACCCAAATCTCATCCTGAATTGTAGTTCCAACAATTCCCATTGTTGTGGAAGGGAGCCAGTGAAAGGTAATTGAATCATAGGGGTAGGTCTTTCCCATGTTGTTCTCAGGTTAGTGAATAAGTCTCACGAGATCTGATGGTTTTATAAAGGGGAGTTTCCCCATGCAAGCTCTCTTCTTTTGGTTGCCACCATGTGAGACGTGTCTTTCACTTTCTGCCATGATTGTGAGGCCTCCCCAGCCACGTGGAACTGTGAGTCCATTAAACCTCTTTCTTTTTTAAATTGCCCAGTCTCAGGTACGTCTTTATCAGCAGCGTGAAAACAGACTAATACAGTTCACACGGCACCACTATGCTCTCCTGGAGCCACTGGGGCCTACAGTCTGGCTCTCATTTTGATTCCATAGAATCATTTGGAGATGTCTGATTTCTACTAAAGAAGTTCATGATACAGACAAAACCAGACTTCCAGATTTGGAAAGAATCTTAAGAATGCTCCTGAAACACTGGTTCCCCAGGATGTTAATCATTTTCCCTTGGGGGAAAAATGTCCATGACCAGATAAGTTTAGGAAATGCTAGAATAAATAATATTAAGCATACTTTTTTACTGCAGAATTTTCCAGTCATAACTACTATTCTCTATGAATCACAAAGAAAATCACAAACTATAGGAAGCGTCTCCAAAAATTACTTGGCCATAAAATCCTTTTTACATTGAGCACCTTTAAAAAAAATTAATAGTGTGTGTATGTGGAGTTTTAGATTTACAGAAAGTTTGGACAAAACAGAGTTCTCATATATCTTCTTCTTCTTCTTTTTTTTTTTTTTGAGGCAGGTCTCACTCTGTCACCCCCAACTGGAGTGCAGTGGTGCGATCTCCGTTCACTGCAACCTCCACCTCCCAGGCTCAAGTGATTCTCCTGCCTCAGCCTCCTGAGTAGCTGGGATTACAGGTGCGTGCCACTACTGCCAGGCTAATTTTTGTATTTTTAGTAGAGATGGGGTTTCACTATGTTGGCCAGGCTGGTCTCAAACTCCTGACCTCAAATGATCTGCCCGCCTCAGCCTCCCAAAGTACTGGGATTACAGGCGTGAGCTACCGCACCCAGCCTCATATATCTTCTTCACATTCCACCACCGCTAGCTTCCCCCTATTATTAACATTTTGCATTAGTGTGGTACATTTGTTACAATTGATGAGCCAAGATTGATGCATTATTATTAACTAAAATTTCATAGTTTAGGGTTCACTCTTTGGGTTGTACATTCTATGGGTTCTGTCAGTTACATAATAACATGTATTTACCATTACAATATCATATAGAATAGTTACAGAATAGTCACACTACTGCAGGTGGATGTCCAGTTGTTCTAATAGATTGGGCACTTTGCTAAGACTTTTGTTCTGAGAGGGACTGTTGGGGGAATACTGACTGAATTTCATGTTGTAATTGTACAAGGGAAAAAATTGATTTTCTTCACAGGGAATTGGTTTTCTCAAGGTCACACAACTAATGCTGGCTAAATTGAGAACAAACACTGATCTACAAAGCAGAATTTCAATTTTAATTTTTAATGGAAGTTGTCTTTTCAATGACCAATGTGCTTGTATGTGTTGCCTGGTACCTTCTAAGTTAGAAGATTTTTCCATACAGATTAAATAATCAGATGGTTATTTGGCGAAATAAAGCAAAGAGATTAAGAGAGTCTTGGAGGACATTTCATGTAGGTTGTGAGGTAACCTGAATATTTTTCCTACTTTACTATGTAGTCCACTTTTCTAGTAACATAAATTCTCATATCTCTTAGGGATGGTGTCTTTTTTTTAGTCACTAGATACACACACACACACACACACACACATACGCACACACACACACACTCTTTAATTTTCTTTGTCCTTGATTAAACATATCACAATACTTGTATATTGTTATAGCCTGAGGCATAACATCATTAATAGGCTAACAGTTTATCTTACATTAGTCTTTGTTAATGCTGATAAATTCAACATTCAGTTCTAATCTCCTGTTCTTTGACAGGTACTGTAAGAGGGGTGGAAATTTCAGGAACACCTGAGCTTTTTTTGATAAATGTTTCAGAGATTCTCCCATGCCTTTTATAAGCTTTTGGAAGCTTTCATAATTTTATCTTTTATGTTTGGTTATACAGAGTTAGTATGTTTAATTTATGTTAATTTTTCTGACATTTTTCCTAAATTCCAGAAGTTACTACCATTTGGGGCCAGGTAATCAATAGGGACTGTCAAGAGAAATAATTTAGCCTTCCCTTGGTTCTAACCACCTTCCCCAAATACATTATCTCTATGAAGTCTATGCATGCAATATCCCAAGTGTCTTATTATAGGTGATTCTATTTTCACAGGCAGCAGGTAATATAAAACATTCTAAAACTGTTTCTCATTCTTTCTATTCCATTCAAGATTTTCAAATAGGTGAAGCAAGAATTAGGACTGGCTACTTCAGTGAGTATATTGCCCTTTGATGGGCAGAATTCACCCAGGTCCTCTTAAGATAGAGTAAATCAGCTTTACAAAGTGAGACCTTGTTGTTAGAGGGTAGCAATGAATTACTGCCTCTACTGGACATCACTTCATGGGACTCATTACTTTTTCCAAAACCTAATTATCTTACCACATCACAAAGTATTTTACTTAGTCATTAGATGTTTTGAATTACAGAGGTGAAATTTTCTATTATTTACAGACAAAATACGGGAAGGGTAGATAATCTAGAGAGAGAGAGAGAACAGAGTGTTTCTAAATTTATGCTATTGACAATAATAAAAGTTCAGAGAAAAAGAGCAAAAATCACCAAATTTTAAACACAACATGAATATCTGCTTCAACCAATGAAGAAATGAAGAAATAAAAACATGTAAAGCATCAAGACAAAACCCTGCCTATCGCTGATGCTCAATCAAAATCCGTGAAATTGAATTGGCTTTGTTAATTCATGGTTGATTTATCTCATGAGACACTCGAGGGCTGCTATTGCGTCTCTTTAAAGAGAGGTAGTTACGCTTCAGACAGCAGCAGTGTGGAAAGTCAGGCTCATGTGGTTGTTTTGCTGTTGTTGTTGTTTGGTTTTGAGACAGGGTCTTACTCTGTCACCTAGGCTGGAGTGCAGTAGTGCGATCACAGCTCACTGCAGCCTCTAACACCTGAGCTCACTGATCCTTCTGCCTCAGCCTCCAGAGTAGCTGGGATCATAGGTGCGTGCCATGATACCCGGCTAATTTTTTTTTTTAATATAGAGATGGGGTTTCACTGTATTGCCAGGCTGGTGGCAAACTCCTGGGCTCAAGCGATTCCTCTGCCTTAATTTACCAAAGTGCTGAGATTACAGGTGTGAGCCACCAAGCCCAATGCTTTTGTTTTATCGATTTTGTTTTAGCATTAAATTCTAATAAACTTTTTCATTATGAAAATATTCAGGCATGCATAAATGTAGGAGAATTAGTAGGATGGGCCCTGTCATAAATCAGCCAGCTTCAGCAACTGCAAATACAATGTCAATTTTGTTCCATCTATTCTGCCTCACCCACTACCCTTACTGTTTTTTTAATGTATATATAACTTTATTGAGGCAGAATTTACGTACCATAAAATTCACCCACTGCACTGCAGAATTTAACGATTTTTAGTAAATGTATAGTTGTACAGCCATCACAAAAATCTGATTTTAGAACGTTTGTATCATCTACCTAAAAGTTCCCTGTGTTCATTTGGAGTCAATACCCCTTTTGACTACATACCCAGGTAACCACTGATCTGCCTTCCGTCTCTATATATTTGCCTTTGGGGGACATTTTATATGAACGCAATCATGCAATAGTTCCCATTTTCCACATGCCTTTTTAATTTAGCCTGTATCTGAGGCTCATCATTTTCATGGCATGTATTAGTTGTTCTGTCATTGCCAAATAATCTCTCATTGTAAAATTATGCTCGATTTGTTTATCTAGTTAACCACTACTGTACATTTGTTTCCAGTTTTTGGCTATTATGAATAATGCTGCTAGAAACATTAATGTCTTTTTGTGAAAAAGTACTTTCGTTTCCCTTCTAGACACCTAGAAGTGAAATGACTGGGTCATATTGATACGGCAGCAGCAGGCAGTCCTGAGCGGCCGCTGCCATCGCGCCGGCTGCAGCGGAAAGGTACAAGCGGTGGCGGCAGGAGCCGCTGTGGGAGCAGCAGTGGCGGCAGTGGGAGCCCTGTGCCACGCGTCCCCTGTGCGCCGTGTCCCCAAGGCAGCTGACTACACCTCCCCCACCCTCCTGCAGCAGGGTGGATCCCACCTAGCGGGACTCCCCACCCACCCCTCCAGGCCTTCTCCACTCCGGACTCTGGCCACTTGCCACCGTTGTCGCCCGCCGCCGCTGCAGGGAGGGTGCACGGAGGGAGCAGACCGTCTCCGGAGCCCGCCGCCCTGGGGGCTGCAGTGATGGGGCCGGGCTGAGGCACCTGCCGGCGGGGTAGCAGGGCAGTCGAGCACGGAGGGAGGGGCGGGCCTCCAGGGGACTTCAGCGGGAGCCGGGCCTGGGGCGGTGCCGCACTTGCACACGGAGTGTGGGGGGCCAGGCCTGGGACCAGGAGCTGGGGCCGGGCTTCGGCGCAGAGGCAGGAAGAGGAAGCGGCACCCGCTTCGGGGACCCAGCCGGCGGCCAGGCCACCGCGCCCACCCGGCCGATGGCACCGTGTTCCTGCGCCTCGGGAGGGAGGAGGCTCTGCGCGGGACTGCAGGTTCTGCCCCGCATCGGAGTGATCGCTGAGCCTGACGCTCTCGAAGGCTGGGCCTGGGGCCCGCAATCTACTCCGGAGGCTTTCCCACTGGGCAGGGTCGCTAGCAGGGTGAGAGAAAGCCCCGGGCCATCCCCGAGTGCCGGGGCCACAGGAAGAATTTGTGGCGACATCATCCCTTCCCCAGGTGCCACCCGGGTGCAGTGAGGACCTGGAGCCCCTGCCCCAGGCTGTGAGGAGACTTGACCAGAGCTGCCTGAATGCTCCACGGAGCAGGTGGGAGCCCACCCTCCCAGGTGCAGGACCCGGGAGTCTCTGCACTCTGCACCCTCGGGGGCCCAGGGGACCCCCTTGCCCTTGCAGGCTTGTATCTGCTCCTGCTGCCTAGCCTCTCCCCACTGCCGGCGCCTGCCTGGATCTCGGAGCAGGGTTGGGGCCGTGCCCCAGCACTGACAGCCCGGCCAGGTGTGTGCACACACGGGGCAGTGCTGATATGCCAGTCACCTGCCACCTCGGCCGCCTCCGGACCTTGGGCACCAAAAAGCACTTTTTAAAAATATACTTTAAGTTATGGGATACATGTGCAGAACGTGCAGGTTTGTTACATAGGTATACACGTGCCATGGTGGTTTGCTGCACCCATCAACCCGTCATCTACATCAGGTATTTCTCCTAATGTTATCCCTCCTCTAGCCCACCATCCCCTGACAGGCCCCGGTGTGTGATGTTCCCTTCCCTGTGTCCATGTGTTCTCAATGTTCAACTCCCGCTTATGACTGAGAACATGCAGTGTTTGGTTTTCTGTTCCTATGTTAGTTTGCTGAGAATGATGGTTTCCAGCTTCATCCATGTCCCCGCAAAGGATATGAACCCATCCTTTTTTATGGCTGCATAGTATTCCATGGGATATATGTGCCACATTTTCTTTATCCAGTCTATCATTGATGGGCATTTGGGTTGGTTCCAAGTCTTTGCTATTGTGAATAGTGCTGCAATAAACATACACGTGCATGTGTCTTTATAGTAGAATGATTTATAATCCTTTGGGTATATACCCAGTAATGGAATTGTTAGGTCAAATGGTATTTCTGATTCTAGATCCTTGAGGAATTGCCACACTGTCTTCCACAATGGTTGAACTAATTTACACTCCCACCAACAGTGTACAAACTTACCTATTTCTCCACATCCTCTCCAGTATCTGTTGTTTCCTGACCTTTTAATGATCACCATTCTAATTGAAATGAGATAGTATCTCATAGTGGATTTGATTTGCATTTCTGTAATGACCAGTGATGATGAGCTTTTTTTTCATATGTTTCTTGGCCACATAAATATCTTCTTTAGAGAAGTGTCTGTTCATATCCTTCACCCACTTTTTGACGGGGTTTTCTTCTTGTAAATTTGTTTAAGTTTCTTGTAGATTCTGCATATTAGCCCTTTGTCAGATGGATAGATTGCAAAAATCTTCTCCCATTCTGTAGGTTGCCTGTTCACTCTGATGATAGTTTCTTTTGCTGTGCAGAAGCTCTTTAGCTTAATTAGATACAATTTGTCAATTTTGGTTTTTGTTGCCATTGCTTTTGGTGAATTAGTCATGAAGTCTTTGCCAGGACCTATGTCCTGAATGGTATTGCCTAGGTTTTCTTCTAGGGTTTTTATGGTTTTAGGTCTTACATTTAAGTCTTTAATCCATCTTGAGTTAATTTTTGTATAAGGTGTAACGAAGGGATCCAGTTTCAGTTGTCTGCATATGGCTAGCCAGTCTTCCCAGCACCATTTATTAAATAGGGAAACCTTTCCCCATTGCTTGTTTTTGTCAGGTTTGTCAAAGATCAGATGGTCGTAGATGTGTGGCATTATTTCTGAGGCCTCTGTTCTATTCCATTGGTCTATATCTCTGTTTTGGTACCAGTACCATGCTGTTTTGGTTACTGTAGCCTTGTAGTAGAGTTTGAAGTCAAGTAGTGTGATGCCTCCAGCTTTATTCTTTTTGCTTAGGACTGTCTTGGCTATACAGGCTCTTTTTTGGTTCCGTGTGAAATTTAAAGTAGTTTTTTCTAATTCTGTGAAGAAGTCAATAGTAGCTTGATGGGGATAGCATTGAATCTATAAATTACTTTGAACAGTATGGCCATTTTCAGGATATTGATTCTTCCTTTCCATAAGCATGGAATGTATTTCCATTTGTTTGTGTCCTCTCTTATTTCCATGAGCAGTTGTTTGTAGTTCTCCTTGAAGAGGTCCTTCACATCCCTTGTAAGTTTTATTCCTAGGTATTTTGTTCTCTTTGTAGCAATTGTGAATGGGAGTTCACTCATGATTTGGCTCTCTGTTTGTCTATTATTGGTGTAAAGGAATGTTTGTGATTTTTGCACATTGATTTTGTATCCTGAGACTGTTCCAAAGTTGCTTGCCAGCTTAAGGGGATTTGGGGCTGAGACAATGGGGTTTTCTAAATATACAATCATGTCATCTGCAAACAGAGACAATTTGACTTCCTCTCTTCCTATTTGAATATGCTTTATTTCTTTATCTTGCCTGATTGCTCTGGCCAGAACTTCCAATACTATGTTAAATAGGAGTGGTGAGAGAGGGCATCCTTGCCTTGTACTGGTTTTCAAATGGAATGCTTCCAGGTTTTGCCCATTCAGTATGATATTCGTTGTGGTTTTGTCATAAATAGCTCTTATTATTTTGAGATACGTCCCATCAATACCTAGTTTATTGAGAGTTTCTAGCATAAAGGGATGTTGAATTTTATTGAAGGCCTTTTCTGTATCTATTGAGATAATCATGTGGTTTTGTCATTGGTTCTGTTTATGTGATTTATTGATTTGTGTAGGTTGAACCAGCCTTGCATCCAAGGGATGAAGCTGACTTGATCGTGATAGATAAGCTTTTTGATGTGCTCCTGGATTCTGTTTGCCAGTATTTTACTGAGGATTTTCGCATTGATGTTCTTCAGGGATATTGGCTGGATATTTTCTTTTTTTGTTGTGTCTCTGCCAGGTTTTAGTGTCAGGATAATGCTGGTCTCATAAAATGAGTTAGGGAGGAGTCTCTCTTTTTCTATTGTTTGGAATAGTTTCAGAAGGAATGGTACCAGCTCCTCTTTTTACCTACAGTAGAATTCGGCTGTAAATCCATCTGGTCCTGGGCTTGTTGGTAGGCTATTAATTACTGCCTCAATTTCAGAACTGTTATTAGTCTATTTGGGGATCCGACTTCTTCCTGGTTTAGTCTTGGGAGGCTGTAGGTGTCCAGGAATTTATCCATTTCTTCTAGATTTTCTAGTTTATTTGTGTAGGGGGGTTTATAGTATTCTCTGATGGTAGTTTGTATTTCTGTGGGATCAATGGTGATATCCCCTTTATTTTTTATTGCATCTATTTGATTCTTCCCTCTTTTCTTCTTTATTAGTCTGGCTAGTGGTCTATCTATTTTGTTAATCTTTTCAAAAAAACAGCTCCTGGATTCATTGATTTTTTTGAAGCATTTTTTGTGTCTCTATCTCCTTCAGTTCTGCTCTGATCTTAGTTATTTCTTGTCTTCTGCTAGTTTTTGAATTAGTTTGCTCTTGCTTCTCTAGTTCTTTTAATTGTGATGTTAGGGTGTCAATTTTAGATCTTTCTCACTTTCTCCCGTGGGCATTTAGTTCTATAAATTTCCCTCTAAACACTGCTTTAGCTGTGTCCCAGAGATTCTTGTATGTTGTGTCTTTGTTCTCATTGGTTTCAAAGAACTTACTTATTCCTGCCTTAATTTCGTTATTTACCCAGTAGTCATTCAGGAGCAGGTTGTTCAGTTTCCACGTAGTTGTGAGGTTTTGGGTGAGTTAATACTGAGTTCTAATTTGATTGCACTGTGATCTGAGAGACTTTGTTATGGTTTCCCCTCTTTTCATTTGCTGAGGAGTGTTTTACTTCCAATTATGTGGTCAATTTTAGAATAAGTGTGATGTGGTGCTGAGAAGAATGTATATTCTGTTGATTTAGGGTGGAGAGTTCTGTAGATGTCTCTTAGGTCTGCTTGGTCCAGAGCTGAGTTCAGGTCCTGAATATCCTTGTTAATTTTTTGACTTGTTTATCTGTCTAATGTTGACAGTGGGGTGTTAAAATCTCCCACTTTTATTGTGTGGGAGTCTTGGTCTCTTTGTAGGTCTCTAAGAACTTGCTTTATGAATCTGGGTGCTCCTGTGTTGGGTGCATATATATTTAGGATAGGTAGCTCTTCTTGTTGCATTGATCCCTTTACCATTATGTAATGGCCTTCTTTGTCTTTTTTGACCTTTGTTGGTTTAAAGTCTGTTTTATCAGAGATTAGGATTGCAACCCCTGCTTTTTTTTTTTTTTTTTTTTCATTTGCTTGGTAAATCTTCCTCCATCCATTTATTTTGAACCAATGTGTGTCTTTGCACATGAAATGGGTCTCCTGAATACAACACACTGATGGGTCTTGACTCTTTATCCCATTTGCCAGTCTGTGTCTTTTACTTGGGGCATTTAGTCTGTTTACATTTAAGGTTAGTATTGTTATGTGTGAATTTGATCCTTTCATTATGATGCTAGCTGGTTATTTTGCCCATTAGTTGTTGCAGTTTCTTCATAGTGTCAATGGTCTTTACAATTTGTTATGTTTTTACAGTGGCTGGTACCAGTTTTTCCTTTCTGTATTTAGTGCTTCCTTTGGGTGCTCTTGTAAGGCAGGCCTGGTGGTGACAAAATCTCTCAGCATTTGCTTGTCTGTAAAGGATTTTATTTCTCCTTTGCTTACTAAGCTTAGTTTGGCAGGATATGAAATTCTGAGTTGAAAATTATTTTCTTTAAGAATGTTGAATATTGGCCCCCACTCTCTTCTGGCTTGTAGGGTTTCTGCAGAGAGATCCACTGTTAGTCTGATGGGCTTCCCTTTGTGGGTAACCTGACCTTTCTCTCTGGCTGCCCTTAACATTTTTTCCTTCATTTCAACCTTGGCGAATCTGATGATTATGTGTCTTGGGGTTGCTCCTCTCAAGAAGTATCTTTGTGGTGTTCTTTGTATTTCCCGAATTGAATGTTGGCCTGTCTTGCTAGGTTGGGGAAGTTCTCCTGGATAATATCTTGAAGACTGTTTTCCAACTTGGTTCCATTCTCCCCATCACTTTAAGTTACACCAACCAAACATAGGTTCTCCTTTTCACATAGTTCCCATATTTCTTGGAGGTTTTGTTTGTTCTTTTTCACTTTTTTCTCTAATCTTACCTTCACACTTTATTTCATTCAGTTGATCTTCAATCTCTGATATTCTTTCTTCCACTTGATCAATTCAGCTATTGATACTTGTGCATACTTCACGAAGTTCTCGTGCTGTGTTTTTCAGCTCCATCAGGTTATTTATGTTCTTCTCTATTCTGGTTATTCTAGTTAGCAATTTCTCTAACCTTTTTTCAAGGTTCCTAGCTTCCTTGCATTGGGTTAGAACATGCTCCTTTAGCTCAGAGGAGTTTCTGATTACCCACCTGCTGAAGCCTACTTCTGTCAATTCGTCAAACTCATTCTCCATCCAGTTTTGTTCCCTTGCTGGCAATGAGTTGTAATCCTTTGGAGTAGAAGAGGCGTTCGGTTTTTGGAATTTTCAGCCTTTTTGAGCTGGGTTTTCCTCATCTTCATGGATTTATCTACCTTTGGTCTTTGATGTTGGTGATCTTCAGATGGTGTTTTTGTGTGAACGTCCTTTTTGTTGATGTTGATGCTATTCCTTTCTGTTTGTTAGTTTTCCTTCTAACAGTCAGGCCTCTCTGCTGCAGGCCTGCTGGAGTTTGCTGGAGGTCCATTCCAGACCCTGTTTGCCTGGGTATCACCAGCGGAGGCTGCAGAACAGCAAAGATTGCTGCCTGTTCCTTCCTCTGGAAACTTCGTTCCAGAAGGGCACCTGCCAGATACCAGCCAGAGCTCTCCTGTATGAGGTGTCTGTCGACTCCTGCTGGGAGTTGTCTCCCAGTCAGGAGGCATGGGGGTCAGGGTCCCACTTGAGGAGGCAGTCTGTCCCTTAGCAGAGCTCGAGCGCTGTGCTGGGAGATCTGCTGCTCTCTTCAGAGCCAGCAGGCAGGAGCCTTTAAGTCTGCTGAAGTTGTGCCCACAGCCGCCAGGTGCTCTGTCCCAGGAAGATGGAAGTTTTATCTATAAGCCCCTGACTGGGGCTGCTGTCTTTCTTTCAGAGATGCTCTTCCCAGAGAGGAGGAACCTAGAAAGCCAGTCTGGCTACAGCAGCTTTGCTGAGCTGGTGGGCTCCACCCAGTTTGAACCTCCTGGCAGCTTTGTTTACACTGTGAGGGGAAAACCGCCTATTCAAGCTTCAGTAATGGCAGATGCCCCTCCCCCCACCTAGCTCAAGTGTCCCAGGTCAACTTCAGACTGCTATGCTGGCAGCGAGAATTTCAAGCCAGTGGATCTTAGTTTGCTGGGCTCCATCAGGGTGGGATCCATTGAGCTAGACCACTTGGCTCCCAGGCTTCAATCCCCTTTCCAAGGCAGTGAATGGTTCTGTCTCCCATTCCAGGTGCCACTGAGGTATGAAAAAAAAACTCCTGCAGCTAGCTTGGTGTCTGCCCAAACGGCTGCCCAGTTTTGTGCTTGAAACCCAGGGCTCTGGTGGTGTAGGCACCCGAGGGAATCTGCTGGTCTGCAGGTTGCAAAGACCATGGCAAAAGCATAGTATCTGGGCTGGAATGCATTGTTCCTCATGGCACAGTCCCTCATGGCTTCCCTTGGCCAGGGGAGGGAGTTCCCCAACCCCTTGCACTTCCTGGGTTTGCTTTGGCTCACCCTCTGGGGGCTGCACCCACTGTCTAACGAGTCCTGATTAAATGAGCCAGGTACCTCAGTTGGAAATGCAGAAATCATCTGCCTTCTGCGTTGATCTTGCTGGGAGCTGCAGACCAGATCTGTTCCTATACGGCCATCTTGTCAGCCACCTATATGACATTTTTTTCCCAGTCATCCGTTGATGGTTGATGAACCCTTAGGTTGATTCTATATTTTTGATATTGTAAATAGCACTGTGAGAAACATATGAATGCAAGTATCCTCTGGATATAATGACCTCTTTTTAAAGAGCTTGTATCTTTGTTTATCCTACTTTATCAAGAGCCAGATCTTTGCTCTACCAAATTTATATTCTGACTGAAGTTATCTGATACCCCAAAACTGGTTACTTCAGTAACTAAAAGCTAGTAAAATTCATCATTTGGAGGAATGTAGACCAAATTTGATTCTTTTCATTTTTTAAAAAGTCAGTTTGTTGATCTCATGTAGGAATCTAAATATTAATGTTAATAAATTAATTTACTGAGGAAGTTTATTGAGACACACTAAAGGCTCTCTTCAGTGAAAGACACTTATTTGCCCTCATAATGTCTGTACGTCTGTGCTTTCTGAACACAAAGTCCATGAAAATTTTGTCCAAACTTTTAATGAAGAGGCAAGACATTGTCTCCAAATGTGCAGTCTCTGAAAATGATCATCTTCTCTTTCTTGAGAGGAAGAGAAATCTTGAGTAGTATTAACTCAAGTTTTATCCCAAGCCACTTTAACACAGCAAGCAGTCATTGAGATCTAATAAGCATCAAGTTGATTTGCTTCCAAATCAACATACTTCTGGAGCTAAAAATAATGGGGACAAAAAGTTATTGTTGTTTGTTTTCTCTAGTCTTAGTTATTTTAAAAATATAGAGCAGATAGGATTTATCACCACACAGATGTAAACATAAGCAATAATACATGCACCCTATTTATTGGATTATCTTAATAATAGTTTATAGCTTTTTATAGCTTAAATGTCATTTTTACATTCGTTATCTTATTTCTTATCATAAAAAATACTTTGAAGTCAAAAAGGAAAACATTCTTATTTTTACTTTAAAAGTCAGCACCTGAATGAAACCCAGAGCAGTTTAGCAAGACGTCCAAAGTCAGACAGCTGTTAAGTGGCAGAATGGAAATTCAGATTCAGATCTCTGAATCACCACATAACCTAGAATGTTGTCATTCTAATAAATGAAAAATATGACTCTGAATGTTTGTCATTATTTAGCCTGGCTCCTAAATGTAGATTCACTTTCTAATCCTAATAAAATGAGTCCCTTTGGACTGTTTATTAAGGAACCTTCAGGGGCATCTCAACAGTACCCCGGATTAGAGTACAACCGAGAAACAAGTTCCAGGAAGAATTATCTTAGAGTCACAGGAGACACAGGTTCAAGGAATGGGCAGCTCTTACTGCTTTTGCTAAGTAGGTCCATGGAAGGCAGGTTGGGTTTCTTGAAGGAATGACTGCAGTTTACCCATTGCCTCCCAACTGACCATTATTATACAGCAGTTTGCAGGAAAACAGACACATTTCTTTTCAGCCAGATTACTATTTGTATTTCCTATCAGCATTAAAGTAAATAAATGCCATTTAGATGGCTTTTCATGAGTGACACCAATAATTTGACTCACGTAGTGAAAACAACAACATCATAAAAATAGAAGTCAAACAACTCAGTTGGAAGAGTAGACAGAGGCTAGAGATGAAAACAATGAAGATCCTCTTTGAAATGCTTGCAATGTAGTTCTTGGTGATGAAGGAGTTAAGAATATGCCATCCCCAAAATATGCTGCTCTGGCATCATGATTATTGCTGTTCAAGGTATTTAAAAAACAGTAGGTGCAAAAAAATCTCTCTGACCATTTTTGTGTTTCTTAAAAGCAGGAGGAAGCATTCCCATGTGAAAGATGAGCTCCCTATAAAAGCAACGCTCTTATCATCGAGAACAGAAAGTTGAAGCCAAGAGAGAGCTCCACAAGCTGACCTTGTTAAACTAACCCTTATCTTCTTAGTCGCTTCTTTACCCAATTAACTACCCTAGCCGAAGCCCCTTTGCCTTATTACATTTTGCAACAGTGTTCGTTGTCCAATTCAGTATACAAGTGAGTGACTCTGGATGCTTTTTGGGGTCTTCGTTTCCTTATGAGGGCTTCTGTGCCATGTAAAACTTGTATTAAATAAATTTGTATGCTTTTCTCCTGTTAATCTGTCTATATCGATTGAACTTTAGGGTCCAGTCAGAACCCAAAGAGGATGGAGGTGGAGTTTTGGCTCCTCTACAGCTATCTGAATAATCAAAATTCAAGATATTCCATGTTCTTTCTGAGTTTCTTTGAAATTAAAAATGCAGACAACCACTCAACTAATACGTCAGCGAGATACGTTTTCTGTCCTTATTGCCTTACTGATGAAATTGCCTTTATTCATAAAAAATAAATGTGGGAGTCTTGTTTATTTATTTCTAATGACATTAACTTGACATTAACCTTGGTGCTCTTGGGAACCATAAATGGGCCCTGTACTACTTGTTACAGAGTATAAATTCCCAGAACTACAAGTACATCATATTCCTCAAGTTACTGAAGAATTTCATGATCCATGTGTCAGGCCTCTGAGCCCAAGCTAAGTCATCATATCCCCTGTGACCTGCACGTATACATCCAGATGGCCGGTTCCTGCCTTAACTGATGACATTCCACCACAAAAGAAGTGAAAATGGCCTGTTCCTGCCTTAACTGATGACATTGTCTTGTGAAATTCCTTCTCCTGGCTCATCCTGGCTCAAAAGCTCCCCCACTGAATACCTTGTGACCCCCAACTCCTGCCCGCCAGAGAGCCACCCCCCTTTTTCCTTTACCTACCCAAGTCCTATAAAACAGCGCCACCCCTATCTCCCTTTGCTGACTCTCTTTTCGGACTCAGCCCACTTGCACCCAGGTGATTAAAAGCTTTATTGCTCACACAAAGCCTGTTTGGTGGTCTCTTCACACAGACCCACATGAAATTTGGTACCGTGACTCGGATCAGGGGACCTCCCATGGGAGATCAATCCCCTGTCCTCCTTCTCTTTGCTCTGTGAGAAAGATCCACCTACAACCTCAGGTCCTCAGACCGACCAGCCCAAGAAACATCTCACCAATTTCAAATCTGGTAAGCGGCCTCTTTTTACTCTCCTCTCCAACCTCCCTCACTATCCCTCAACTGCTTTCTCTTTTCAATCTTGGTGCCACACTTCAATCTCTCCCTTCTCTTAATTTCAATTCCTTTCATTTTCTGGTAGAGACAAAGGAGACACATTTTATCCATGGACCCAAAACCCCGGTGCTGGTCACGGACTGGGAAGGCAGCCTTCCCTTGGTGTTTAATCATTGCAGGGACGCCTCTCTGATTATTCACCCATGTTTCAGAGGTGTCAGACCACACAGGGATGCCTGCCTTGGTCCTTCACCCTTAGCGGCAAGACCCGCTTTTCTGGAGGAGGGGCAAGTACCCCAACCCCTTCTCTCCGTGTCTCTACCCCTTCTCTGCTTTTCTGGGGGAGGGACAAGAACCCCTCAACCCCTTCTCCTTCACCCTTAGCAGCAAGTCCCGCTTTTCTAGGGGGCAAGAACCCCCAATCCCTTATTTCTGCACCCCAATCTCTTATCTCTGTGCCCCAATCCCTTATTCCATGCCCCAACCTCTTATCTCTGTACCCCAATCCCTTATTTCCATGCCCCAACCTCCTATCTCTGCACCCCGATCCCTAATTTCCACACCCCAATCTCTTATCTCTGTGCCCCAATCCCTTATTTCCATGCCCTGACATCCTATCTCTGTGCCCCAACACGTTATTTCCACACCCCGACCCCTTTCCCACTTTTCTGGAGGGTAAGAACCCCCGAACCCCTTCCCTCCGTGTCTCTACTCTCTCTTTTCTCTGGGCTTGCTTCCTTCACTATGGGCAACCTTCCACCCTCCATTCCTCCTTCTTCTCCCTTAGCCTGTGTTCTCAAGAACTTAAAACCTCTTCAACTCACACCTGACCTAAAGCCTAAATGCCTTATTTTCTTCTACAATGCTGCTTGACCCCAATACAAACTCAACAGTGGTTTCAAATAGCCAGAAAACGGCACTTCCATTTTTTCCATCCTACAAGATCTAAATAATTCTTGTTGTAAAATGGGCAAATGGTCTGAGGTGCCTGACGTCCAGGCATTCTTTTACACATCAGTCCCTCCCTAGTCTCTGTTCCCAATGCAACTTGTCCCAAATCTTCCTTCTTTCCCTCCCGCCTGTCCCCTCAGTCCCAACCCCAAGCATCGCCGAGTCTTTCTAATCTTCCTTTTCTACACACCCATCTGACCTCTCCCCTCCTCGCCAGGCCGAGCCAGGTCCCAATTTTTCCTCAGCCTCCACTCCTCCACTCTATAATCCTTTTATCATCTCCCCTCCTCATACCCGGTCCGGCTTACAGTTTCATTCCATGACTAGCCCTCCCCCACCTGCCCAGCAATTTACTCTTAAAAAGGTGGCTGGAGCTAAAGGCATAGTCAAGGTTAATGCTCCTTTTTCTTTATCCCAAATCAGACAGCGTTTAGGCTCTTTTTCATCAAATATAAAAATCCAGCCCAGTTCATGGCTTGTTTGGCAGCAACCCTGAGATGCTTTATAGCCCTAGACCCTAAAAACTCAAAAGGCCGTCTTATTCTCAATATACATTTTATTACCCAATCTGCTCCCGACATTAAATAAAACTCCAAAAATTAAATTCCAGCCCTCAAACCCCACAACAGGACTTAATTAACCTCGCCTTCAAGGTGTGCAATAATAGAGTAGAGGCAGCCAAGTAGCAACATATTTCTGAGTTGCAATTCCTTGCCTCCACTGTGAGACAAACCCCAGCCACATCTCCAGCACACAAGAACTTCCAAACGCCTAAACCGCAGTGGCCAGGCGTTCCCCCAGAACGCCGCTACAAGTGCCAGAAATCTGGCCACCAGGCCAAGGAATGCCCGCAGCCCAGGATTGCTCCTAAGCCATGTCCCATCTGTGCAGGACCCCACTGGAAATCGGACTGTTCAACTCACCTGGCATCCACTCCCAGAGCCCCTGGAACTCTGGCCCAAGGCTCTCTGACTGACTTCTTCCCAGATCTTCTCGGCTTAGCAGCTGAAGACTGACGCTGCCCGATTGCCTCAGAAGCCCCGTAGACCATCATGGACGCCGAGCTTTAGGTAACTCTCACAGTGGAGGGTAAGTCCATCCCCTTCTTAATACAGAGGCTACTCACTCCACATTACCTTCTTTTCAAGGGCCTGTTTCCCTTGCCTCCATAACTGTTGTGGGTATTGACAGCCAGGCTTCTAAACCTCTTAAAACTCCCCAACTCTGGTGCCAACTTAGACAATACTCTTTTAAGCACTCCTTTTAGTTATCCCCACCTGCCCAGTTCCCTTATTAGGCCGAGACACTTTAACTAAATTATCTGCTTCCCTGACTATTCCTGGATTACAGCTACATCTCATTGCCGCCCTTCTTCCCAATCCAAAGCCTCCTTTGCGTCCTCCTCTTGTATCCCCCCACCTTAACCCACAAGTATAGGATACCCTACTCCCTCCTTGGCTACTGATCATGCACCCCTTACCATCTCATTAAAACCTAATCACCCTTACCCCCGCTCAATGCCAATATCCCATCCCACAGCATGCTTTGAAAGGATTAAAGCCTGTTATCACTCACCTGCTACAGCATGGCCTTTTAAAGCCTATAAACTCTCCTTACAATTCCCCCATTTTACCTGTCCTGAAACCAGACAAACCTTACAAGTGAGTTCAGGATCTATGCCTTATCAACCAAATTGTTTTGCCTATCCACCCCATGGTGCCAAACCCATATATTGCCCTATCCTCAATACCTCCCTCCACAATCCATTATTCTATTCTGGATCTCAAACCTGCTTTCTTTACTATTCCTTTGCACCCTTCATCCCAGCCTCTCTTCACTTTCACTTGGACTGACCCTGACACCCATCAGGCTCAGCAAATTACCTGGGCTGTACTGCCACAAAGCTTCACAGACAGCCCCCATTACTTCAGTCAAGCCGAAATTTCTTCCTTATCTGTTACCTATCTCAGCATAATTCTCATAAAAACACACGTGCTCTCCCTGCTGATCATGTCCGACTAATCTCTCAAACCCCAATCCCTTCTACAAAACAACAACTCCTTTCCTTCCTGGGCATGGTTGGATACTTTCACCTTTGGATACCTGGTTTTGCCATCCTAAAAAAACCATTATGTAAACTCACAAAAGGAAACTTAGCTGACCCCATAGATCCTAAATCCTTTCCCCACTCCTCTTTCCGTTCCTTGAAGACAGCTTTAGAGACTGCCCCCATCCTAGCTCTCCCTAACTCATCCCAACCCTTTCCATTACACACAGCTGAAGTGCAGGGTTGTGCAGTCGGAATTCTTACACAAGGACCGGGATCACGTCCTGTAGCCTTTTTGTCCAAACAACTTGACCTTACTGTTTTAAGCTGGCCATTATGTCTCCGTGCAGTGGCTGCTGCCGCCCTAATACTTCTAGAGGCCCTTAAAATCACAAACTATGCTCAACTCACTCTCTACAGCTCTCGTAATTTCCTTAATCTATTTTCTTCCTCACACCTGATGCATATACTTTCTGCTTCCTGGCTCCTTCAGCTGTACCCACTCTTTGTTGAGTCTCCCACAATTACCATTGCTCCTGGCCCGGACTTCAATCCGGCCTCCCACATTATTCCTGATACCACACCTGACCCTCATGACTGCATCTCTCTGATCCACCTGACGTTCACCCCATTTCCCCACATTTCCTTCTTCCCTGTTCTTCACCCTGATCACGCTTGATTTATTGATGGCAGTTCCACCAGGCCTAATCGCCACACACCAGCAAAGGCAAGCTATGCTATAGTACAAGTCACTAGCCCGCCTCTTAAAACCTCTCATTTCCTTTCCATCGTAGAAATCTATCCTCAAGGAAATAACTTCTCAGTGTTCCATCTGCTATTCTACTACTCCTCAGGGATTATTCAGGCCCCCTCCCTTCCCTACACATCAAGCTCGGGGATTTGCCCCCGCCCAGGACTGGCAAATTAGCTTTACTCAACATGCCCTGAGTCAGAAAAACTAAAATACCTCTTAGTCTAAGTAGACACTTTCACTGGATAGGTAGAGGCCTTTTCTACAGGGTCTGAGAAGGCCACCGCAGTCATTTCTTCCCTTCTGTCAGACATAATTCCTCAGTTTAGCCTTCCCACCTCTATACAGTCTGACAACAGACCAGCCTTTATTAGTCAAATCAGCCCAGCAGTTTTTCAGGCTCTTGGTATTCACTGAAACCTTTATATCCCTTACAGTCCTCGGTCTTCAGGAAAAGTAGAACAGACTAAAGGTCTTTTAAAAACACACCTCACCAAGCTCAGCCACCAACTTAAAAAGGAATGGACAATATTTTTACCACTTTCCCTTCTCAGAATTCAGGCCTGTCCTCAGAATGCTACAAGGTACAGCCCACTTGAGCTCCCGTATAGATGCTCCTTTTTCTTAGGTCGTAGTCTCTTTCCAGACACCAGACCAACTTGGACTTTGTCCCAAAAAACTTGTCATCCCTACTGTCTTCTGTCTAGTCATACTCCTATTCACCATTCTCAACTACTCATACATGCCCTGCTCTTGTTTACACTGCCAGTTTACACTGTTTCTCCAAGCTGTCACAGCTGATATCTCCTGGTGCTATCCCCAAACCACCACTCTTAACTCTTAAAGTAAATAAATAATCTTTGCTGGCAAGGCTATGCTGAACCTCCTTAGGCACTCTCTAATTAGATGTCCTGGTTCCTCCCAATTCTTAGTCCTTTAATACCTGTTTTTCTCCTTCTCTTATTCTGTTTAGTTTTTCATTTCATACAAAACTGTATCCAGGCCATCACCAATAATTCTAAATGACAAATGTTTCTTCTAACAGTCCCACAATATCACCCCTTTCCACAAAATCTTCCTTCAGCTTAATCTCTCCCACTCTAGGTTCCCATGCTGCCCCTAATCCTGCTCGAAGCAGTCCTGAGAAACATCGCCCATTATCTCTCCATACCATCCCCCCAAATTTTTGCCGTCCCAACACTTTACCACTATCTCATTTTATTTTTCTTATTAATATAAGAAGACAGGAATGTCAGGCCTCTGAGTCCAAGTTAAGCCATCATATCCCCTATGACCTGCACGTACACATCCAGATGGCCGGTTCCTGCCTTAACTGATGACATTCCACCACAAAAGAAGTGAAAATGGCCTGTTCCTGCCTTAACTGATGGCATTGTCTTGTGAAATTCCTTCTCCTGGCTCATCCTGGCTCAAAACCTCTCCCACTGAGTACCTTGTGACCCCCCACTCCTGCCCGCCAGAGAACAACCCCCCTTTTTCCTTTACCTACCCAAATCCTATAAAACGGCCCCACCCCTATCTCCCTTTGCTGACTCTCTTTTCAGACTCAGCCCGCCTGCGCCCAGGTGATTAAAAGGTTTACTGCTCACACAAAGCCTGTTTGGTGGTCTCTTCACATGGACGCGCATGAAACATGTAATACAAGGTTCTTGAGAACTTGGGCCTTTTTGACATGACGGCTTTACTGATGAATATCTCACTAGGAAGCAATGTTTGTTTAAGGCAGTTTTCCTGATCACATAAAAATATCAATAACCCCTGCTGGTACTATGTCCTCCAAACTCAGCTGCCTCTGTGGGAACAGCTATTTATATGCATTATAGTTAATTTGCTTTTTAAAGGGAGTGAAAATTGTCCTTCTGATATGTGCAATTCTAATCCTTGGGCCTGGCAACCAAGAAGGTGGTTCATGAGAAGTATTGCTTTCAGATACATATTGATGACAAGAAACATCCCTTGGGAAGCATATGATGTTGATGTGAAAATTATGGCTTTGCCTGTAGAAGGCTTTCACCCAGTCATCTCCTCTGCCACTTTCTTCTCACTGGAACTAGAAGTGGAGTGTGGCACCTGAACTGTAGGTGTACCCGATACTCCAGATGGGGAAAAGGTACAGCTGATGTGGGAGGTGTTTTAGAGCCAGCCCCTCTTCAGCCACATAGACTAGGCAAGCAGGTGGTTCTATCTGTGTCTCTAATGTGGTGTTTGTCACTGCTTGCCTTGTGTTCTTGTTCTCGGTGATGTGTCTAGATTCCTTCTGTAAAGCAAAAGTTGTGTCCAGCAAATCTCTGTATTCCCCCAAACACATAGGACAGAAGCACTATGGAATATGTTCAGGTCTATAGAAATGGAAGAAAGGAAAGGAGGAAGAGAGAGAAAGAACGGTGGGGAGGGAGGGAGGGAGGAAGAGAGAGAAGGAAGGATTCTATTGCTGATAGAGCTACAGTTCCACTTTGGTGCCCATACAAACAAATATTTCCCAGAATTTTTCTAAGCTGTCATAGTTCTTGGGTTCATAACTGAGAAGTTCATATATTCCAGTGTGTTAGATTTTTAGTACAATTTAATAAGATTTAACATAGGTAAAAAGAAAAGATAGAAAACTATATTTCTACGAAAATTTATAGAATGGCACTGTGTGGTGGGCGCTGTACTGACAGTGTGAAGATACATTCAATCACAGATAAATTTGACAAACATTTCTTGTGCACTTAATGTGTTTACTGCTCCTTTTGTGGGGAATATAGCAGTTAGCAAAACAAAGTCCCCATCCTCACGGTCAGGCCATGTGGTTAGGCTCACCAATGCAGCCTTCAAGGAAGTGATGCATAGGGAAGAGGTTAAGATGCACATGTGCCCTCTACATCCTGTCTTCTCTCCCTACTGGATGTCAATGAGACATCAGAAGGTGTCTGTGTCGAAGATGCAGACCAACTGTCAGCCTTGATCTCTTGATGACTTTAGGGACAGAGTCTCACACCCATCCTCTCAACAGAAACCTCTGCATCAAACTCTAACATGAACAACAAATAAACTTTTACTATGTTGGCTACTGAACTTTGAGAGGTTATACATTATAGTATTTATTGACCCTTGTCTACTGTACTCACTCAACCCCACTCAACCCCACCCAGCCAGGTGAACTCCTTTGAGACTTAGTTTAGATATTGCCTCCTCCAAGAAAACTTTCTGATCACTTTACCCCTTCATTCACCAGACTAGTTTTAGTATTCCATTTAACACTTCCATATTTCATTTATGAGTTGTGTGTGGTTTTAAAAAATTACGTGTATATTTTTTGTCTTCACTAAAATGTGAGCTCCTTGAAAGAATAGACTATTTTATTCTTCTTCGCCTCTCCAGAGCTTAGGACACAGACTGACACAAAGAGGTGCAGAAGAAATATTTGTATAAAATGTAATAGGTTTTATTGAGGATGTAGTTTATGCTGGAGGATATAGTTTAGAAGACAGAGGACTGAAAGGCATATTTGAAAATTTAGAAGTCTGTCCCCTAATATAAAGACTGGGAAATGCTGTTCTAAACTGAAATGTGGAAATAATAATTGCTCAGAAATTTCTTATGGATCTGAAGCTCCATATAAGACTTGGAGGCCAAGATTAAAAGAATATTAAATCGTATGCATAGATTTGTCCAACCATAGTGTTTTGAAAGGTACATAGTGTGACAAGAAGCCTACATTTCCAGGAGGTACCTGATGATAGTCTTTGAATTCAAGCAAACTTACCTTCAAATCCATCTGCTATCTACACCTTGGGCAAATTACATTCCTTCTCTGAGCATTAGTTTCCTCTTTTGTAAAAATAGATATAACTCACTGACCATGTGTATTAAGCCATTCTTGCATTGCTATAAAGAAATACCTGAGACTGAGTAATTTATTAAAAAAAGAGTTTTAATTGACTCGTGGTTCTGTAGACTATACAGGAAGCATAATGCTGACATCTGCTTGGCTTCTGAGGAGGCGTCAGGAAATTTACAGTCATGGCATATATTATTCTGTTCTCACATTGCTGTAAAAAATACCTGAAACTGAATAATTTATAAAGAAAAGAGGTTTCATTGGCTCACAGTTCTGCAGGCTGTCCATGAAGCATGGCAGCATCTGCTTGGCTTCTGGGGAGGCCTCAGGAAACTTACAATCATGGTGAAGGCAAAGGGAGAGCCAGCACTTCACATGACTGGAGCAGAAGGAAGGGGGTGTGTGGTGGTACACACTTCTAAACAGCCAAATTTCATCACTATCATGATGACAGCACCAAGGAAAATGGTGTTAAACCATGAGAAACTGCCCCAATGATCTAATCGCCTCCCACCAGGCCCCACCTCCAACATTGGGGATTCCAATTTGACATGAGATTTGGACGGGGACTCAGATCCAAATCATATCATGGCAGAAGGATAAGGGGGAGCAGGCATGCCACATGGCAAAAGCAGGAGCAAGAGAGAGCAAGGTGCTTCACACTTTTAAACATCCAGATCTCGCAAGAAGTCATTCACCATCACAAGTGATGGTGTCTCGAAAAGTGGTGGTCATTTTTGCAATACACCATATGTAACCATCAATCTAGTAGTAAAAACCACAACCACAAAGGAAGGATTACATGAATGTGACCACTGACCCGTAAGTCACAGCCCAGCTGACCACTCAATCACTATGCATATGCCACAGCAAGTGTCTTAGACTGTGTTTCCCAGAAGTCTAAGATGGGGACTCCTAACACTCAGAAAGCACTCAATAAATGTAAGATTTTTTTCCTTCATTCTGCCGTATAAGTTGTTTACCTAAGTAGGTAAGTTAGTGGTAATTCCAACATTTATCTGTCTAAATATCAAGAAAACACATTGATTTAAAAAGACATTTTTGCAGCATATATGTGTGTGTGTGTGTGTGTGTGCACACTTATATTTTTAATGCATACATCATGCTCCATATATTTGCATGGCAGCAATTTGAGCCTAAAGTAGCTATCTGCAAAAATGCATAAAACAATATGATCCATCACAATTTATTATACTGTATCAATCAGCATATTCTACCTAACAAACAAAATTTAGTGGTTTAATATAATAAACATTCATTTAGCTCATGATTCTATGGGTCAGCAATTTGGACTGCATGGTTCTGCTGATATCAGCTTCCTCATGTATCTAAGGTACAGTGCTGTTTAGTTGAACAGCTTTGCTTCTGGAGACAATGGGGATAATGGGCTTGTGCCTCTCATCCAGCAGGTTAGCCTCACATAGTAGCTCTGGATTCCAAGAACAGCAAAAGAGCAAGCTCGATGTGCGCATGCTTTTCCCAACTTCCTTGTTTGCTAATGTCTCATTAGTTAAAACAAGTCACTTGGCCAGTCCAAACTCAATAAATAGACAAGTAGATGCCATCTCATGAAGTAAAGAGAGAAAGTGGTGGTCATTTTTGCAATATACCACATATAACCATCAATCTAGTAGTAAAAACCACAACCACAGGGAAAAATTGCAAGGATCTGACCACTGACCAATAAGTCACAGCCCAGCTGGCTGACCACTCCATCACTCTGCATATACCACAGCGAGTGTCTTACATTGTGTTTCCCAAAAGTCTGAGATGGGGACTCTTGTGCTGTGATTTATTGTGGGATCCTCCTCAAAAGGACCCTCTAAAGAAATGAGAGACAAAGGATTGGGCAGAGGAAAGAAGTTCAGTAAAGTTGTAGTTTCACCTAAAGTGTAAACCCAGCCTGATGCCATGGGCAGACAGGCATATGAATGGCACCACAGAGTTGTCCAGACTTGAGGCAATAGTATCAAGCTTCTATTCCTGTCCCCTCACCATATCAATCAGTCAATTCTCCTGGAAGTTGAAATGTGTGCATGCCTTGGCCTGAAGGACAGGCTTCTCCTCTGGGTGTATTCATCCCAAGACCCAACCTTGGCAACGTTCAACTCTGATCCTTTAACTGAGAAGTGATTCCTTTATAGAGCTGCATTTTCCACTCAAAACAGCATTTATTTTTGCAAGCACTTTTCTAACATAGATGGTAGGCTTTTCCAGCAGTTTATATTGGTCTGTATTTATCACATAGCTGCCTATTTTCTCTTTCTAATTTGATTAGCATTTATTACATAGAATAATATAAATAAAAAATTTAAAATACACTTATAAGAGAAACCAAGGCATGCTAGAAGTGCTCTTTTCTAGGTGTACATGCTAGTACTTGGGGAGTTTGATGTAGAAGAGAGAGGAAAACTTGGAGTTCATGGTCTCAAGTGAATGAGTAGGAGGTTTATGGTAAGGAAGAGGAACAATGAAAAGAGAAAGAAATAGTGCAACTGCCATGTGGAAAACACCTTTAAATAAAGAGCAAAAGCGGAATATTGTGTGCAATGTCCTCTTCAATTTCCTCCTTCGAACTTAAAAAAAAAAATTCCAGTACTCTGACTGCTTTGAGACATAAATAGGGGTAGGGGGTGGGGGAGTATGCAGTGGACAGAAGAGATGGGCAGTTAGGCTGGGACAACAGCTAAAACTTTACCTAAATCAGGTGCTGGCAAGAGCAACAGCAAATGTAAATGCACAGAGAGTCAGAGATATTTGGGTTACATATGCACAAGAAGAAAATCCAAATCACCCTTTCTCATAAACTCGAAGTTTACATTCCAGTCTGGTCTATTTCTTTCACTTCTAAACAGGAAATAAGTGGTAGAACAAAGGGTTCTGATAGAAGAGTAAATCACAGTTCTGTGGTTTGAATGTGTGACCAAGACAGATACTCGTACCAGAAGTGGGGTGTTATCTAGCAAACACCTGGAAATGAGGAGCAGCTTTGAAAGTGGGTAATGCCTACAGGCTGAAAGAGTTTGGAGGTGCGTGCTAGAAAAAGCCTAGATTGTTGTGAATGAAGGGCAATTCTAATGATGGCTTAGAAGAAGAGAGCTGTAGGAAGAGCCTAAATCTTCTTAGAGATTTTCTAAGTGGTCATGATCAGAATGTTGGTAGAAATATGGACTGTAAAGTCCATTCTGCTGAGGTTTTATTTGAAAATGAGGAATATCTTATAGGAAACTGAAGGAAAGGCCATTCTTGTTATAAAGTGGCAAATAACCTGGCTGAATTTTATCCATGTCCTGGTACTCTGTGGAAGGCAGAACCTGAGGACAATGAACTGGAATATTTGATGAAAAGTCTCTCAACAAACCACTCTGAGTGCTGCATGGCTTCTCTTGACTACTTATAGAAAAATGTAAAAAGAGAGAACTTAATTAAAGATGGAATTTATTATCAAAATGGAAACACAACTTAAAGATTTGGAAAATTCTCAGCCTGGCCACGTAAAGAATGAGAAAGTGTGTTTTGGAGTGAATATTAAGGATGTGGCTAAGCAACTGTTTGAAATGGAGGTTAGTATGGATAGAAGGAAGCCAGGCGCTATTCACCGAGACAATGAAAGAATGATCCCAAAGGCATTTCTGAAATCTTTGTGGATACCCTACTGTCACAGGCCCAAAGTGCCATGGCCTTGTGGGCAGAACAGTTTCAAAAGAGGGACCAAGGTGCCTGTGGCCTCACTGCCCAGGGCCACCTCAAATCTCTGCTCCCTGCATTCTGGTGCAGCATTTCTTGGCTGCCCTAGCTGTTGCTCAAGCCACTCAGGAGGGTACAAGCTGTATTACATGGTGGCATCCATGAGATGCTAACTCTGCAGGCACACAGAGTTCATGAGCTGTGGAAGCATGGCTACCTCCATCTAGGTTTCAAAAGATGCCTTGGAGAGCCTTGGAGAATAGGCAGAGAACTTCTACCAGGAGAAGACTGCCACTGAAAATTCCCACCAGAGCAATGCCCAGCAGAGGCATGAGGTTGGAGTGACCTGTGACATCTGAGACATGTAGGGCCACCAGTGTTCAGTGACAGCCTTGGGGAGCCACAGCCACTTGACTCTAACCCATAACAGCTTCAGCATGAGCTGAGCTCAGACAATCCACGGGAGTAGGATCCCCTGGAGTCTTGGGGACCCAACCCCTGCCCCAGTGTGTCTGGAATAAGGGACGTGGAGTCAAAGAATATTATTCTCAGGCCTCAAGATTGAATGTTGTTTGCCTTGTTGCGTTTTAGACTTACTCAGGACCTATTACCCCTTTCTGCCTTTCTGTTACTTTTTCTTAGAATGGGAATGTCTATCTGATGCCTGTCCCGCTACTGTATATTAAAAGTACCTTGCTTTATTTCACAGGCTCACAGCTGGAGAAGGAATTTGAATTAAAGAAATCATACCACAAGTTTCATCTGTACCTGATTTAGATGATATTTTGGATGATATTTTAGATGATATTTAGTTTAGAATTTGGACATAGAGTTTTAAGTTGATGCTGGAATAAGTAAAGATTTGGGGGGCTATTGGAATGGAATGAATGTATTTCACATGTGAGAAGGACACAAATTTAGGGGAGACTGGGGCAGAATGCTATGGTTTGAATTTGCCTGTCTTTCAAAATTTGTGGTAAAATGTAGTCCTCGTTGTTGTAGTATTAAAAGATGGGGCCTATGGGGAAGTGATTGAGTCATGAAGGATCTGCTCTCACGGACGGATTAGTGCCTTGTAACCGGGATGGAGGAAACTAACTTAGGTCTCTTTTTTCCTTCTGCCATACGCAGCAACAAAGCACCATCTTGGAAGCAGAGAGCCACCCTCACCAGAACTGAATGCAGGCACCGTGACCTTGAACTTCCCAGCCTCCAGAACTGTGAGAAATCAATTTCTGTTCTTTATAACTTACCCAGTCTCAGGTATTTTGTTACAGCAACACCAGTGGACTAAGTCACAGTCTCAGGAAGAAAGCATGCATTCCTCTTTTCTCCCTCTTAGTGCTGCCAGGACCTGCAGAACTCCAGATGGATTCCCCTGGCTGACACTTGAAAGATTTTTGCTCTAACTTAATAGAAATGACAGACTGGCAAAGCCATAGTTAAATCAGCTGGAGGAGCCACAAATCAAATCATCTTTACAGAAAGGTACACAGCTAACAAGTCCTAATGGTAATGAGATTTGGGAAGTTTTTTTTTTTTAGTTGGGGGGTGGGCATTGTTGTTGCTGTTTGGCTTTCTAGACCAGTAAGCCTGCCAGCAGTAATTGCTTACACACAGCTGTCACTTGGGTTCAGAGTGACTCAGAACACTCATAAAGAGATATAAACCACACGTGCCACCACATGCTTCTGGGCCACCCGTGACATAGAGTATATCATTCATTTTCTGACACTTCTTATTTGCCATCTGCTCAGGGAAACCTCCAGAGCAAATTAGTGTAGCCCTCACTTTCAGACATTAAATCTACAGTTATGGGCACAGTAGCTACCATGTGACAAGCATAGTGTTGGGCATTTAACAAATGTTTTCTCATTTAATTCTCACAACATCCTCCAGCAATGCTGTCCCTTTATGCAGATGAGTTTGTCCAAAGGCACCAGGCACCAGTGGCCAGGGAGAATCTAATCTCAGATTTGTCTGGAGCCAAAATTCACACATTTTTGCAATATCATGATGAGCTAAGGAGAATTTTGCTCGCGGGTCCCTCCCCAAACCCCACCTCCTGGCACACCTTTCCTTGTCCTCTCTGCAGCCTTTCCCAAGCACCCAAGGCCCAGGTGTCCACTTTTTGGGCCTTGACTTAGGTTTCTATAAAACAGAGTTTTTCCTAGTCCTGTCTTCTCTCATCAGGGATTTACCCCACAGACCATGACACTATGATATCAGTATCTTCCGTATCCTTGCAGGTCTTTCTAGGTACATGAAATGAGCCACAATAACCTGATTCATATCATGGTCTTGATACTTAGCATAGCTTTACATTCAATGCCTCCCATAAAATCTCTTTGTATTTTAAGAGGAGCCATTATTAATAACTCAAAAGAATGAGTTATGAAAGCACAGCATTATCTAAAATTAATACACTATAAATGAAGGATGTGTTACAAATGTAGACTTTTCCTCTTTCTATAATTTCTCTCGTCCTAATCTGGAGGCTCTATCCTCACTTATAGCAGCTGGTAAGAAATCTTGGAATTTTCCTGTATAAGGTAATTTTATTTTTTCTGGTAAATAGCATTTCATATCTCACAATCTAAGTTTTAACTTCTTACCTATAGTGTTTCTTTCCTCCAAACTGTCTGTCTTCCTTATCTTTCCCTATAGATGTGAGTGCACATGGAAATTTATGGAGTCTCTCAGCATTGTAGAAGAGCCTCTGTTTCTTCTCACTGGTTCCTGTCCTCCTCAGCTTGGTATATAACTCCTGAGGGCTGAATACCTGGTTGCTGAAGGATCCAGTCCCTGCCCTATAACCGAGGAAGAATTTCTACTTCCCCTTCCTGTCCAGAAGTGATATTCCCAGGTATCACCTTTTTCTCTCCTGCCCTATGGACTTCAGATATATCTATCTGCCTTTCACTATGACAATAAATGTCACTGATTTGCTTTAATGGTAGAAAAGACTACAGAGAGAGAGAGTAAAAATAAAAAATGTATTAATATGGGAGAATATACACCCAGAGGAATTTTTGAAAATAGTTTCTCCATCACAGAAGCAAAACTAGAGCTGGGTGGTTTATACTGGGTGATATAGTTTGGCTGTGTCCCTACCCAAATCTCACCTTGAATTGTAATAATTCCCATGTGTCAAGTGTGGGACCAGGTAGAGATAATTGAATCATGGGGGTGGTTTTCCCCATACCGTTCTCACGGTAATGAATAAGTCTCATGAGATCTGATGGTTTTATAAATGGGAGTTCCCCTGCACAAGCTGTCTTGCCTGCTGTCATGTAAGATGTGACTTTGCTCCTCATTCACCTTCTGCCATGACTGTGAGGCTTCCCCAGCCATGTGGAACTGTGAGTCAATCAAACCTCCTTCCTGTATAAATTACCTAGTCTCAGGTATGTCTTTATTAGCAGTGTGAGAACAGACTAATACTATCTCCTCCTGTAGATAGCAAAGGAGTGATTCTACTGCATTAACATTAATCTCATGAATTTAGCATCATTCCAGTCCTGGTTTTAGCTCAAGCCTAATTGGAGGAGAGTAGACAGCAACCAGCTGTAATACAAAAAGCAACCATTTGGAATCAGAGCTAGATTCAAATCCAGGTCTCATCACTTCATACAATGTTACCTTTGGGCAAGTTATTCTGTCTCTTTGGGCTTCAAGTGGCCTTTCCAAAATGTCATCTACATCATAAAAGTGTTGCTGATATTCAGTGAAATATTCCATATGAAACCCCTCACAAAGGACCAGGAACATAGTAAGTCTAAATACATGTTTGTTTCCATTCCTCCACCATTTTCCTTTATAAGATGAAGTGAGAAATTATATGCTCTCTGGGAAATGGCTATCTGCAAAGACTTGTGGCATTCTACTTTCTGGATATATTGCCTTATGTCTGGCAAACTGTACTGATTAAAACTTTGAACAGAAGAAGGAAAAACTAATTTGGAAGGGCTAATCAAGACTCTCCATAGTCCAAAAGGGATGATTTCTCAGTTGTGCAGAGAACCAATAAACCTCCATCCTGAGGACAAAAGTAATTTTGTGAAACTGCATGAAGTTTCTCTAGAGAGAGAGACTTCACAAAGCCCAGTGGTCACAGCTGTGCAGTGGAACCGAACTACTTTGAATCTCTGCCATCAAAGGAAAGAATCTCAGGATTTTCTGCTACAGAAGCATGATCGTGTTTAAATTCTTAAAATGCTGCATTAGCAAGAATTCTCCACAGAAACAGACTCTCTCTCTAGAGTTGAGAGAGAGAGAGAGTTAATATAGGAATTGGCTCATGGGACAATGGAGGCCAAGAAGTTCCAGAATCTGATGTCTGCAAGCCAGCAAACAAAGCCAATAATGTAATTTAGTCTGAGTTCAAAGGCCCAAGAATGGAGGTACTGATGGTATAATTCCTGATCTGAGTCTAAAGGCCCAAGAACCAGGAACACTCATGTTAACAGAAAATGAATAGGCCAGGTGCAGTGGCTCACACCTGTAATCCCAGCACTTTGGGTGGCTGAGGCCGGCAGATCCATCGAGGTCAGGAGTTTGAGACCAGCCTGACCAACATGGTGAAACCCTGTCTCTACTAAAAATACAAAAATTAGCTAGATATGGTGGTGTGTGCCTGTAGTCCCAGCTACTTGGGAGGATGAGCCACAAGAATGAACCCAAGAGGCAGAGGTTGCAGTGAACTGAGGTTGCGCCACTGCACTCCAGTCTGGGTGACAGAGCAAGAAGAAAAAAAGAAGAGAGATTAATGTCTCGGCTCCATAAGGAAAGAGAAAATGCATTCTTCTGAAGTTTTGTTCTATTTGTGTTCTCAATAAATTGGATGGTACCTACTCACATTGGTGAGGGTGATCTTCTATACTCAGTCTGATTCAAATGCTAATCTTTTCTGGAAACACCTTCACAAACACACCTAGAAATTATGTTCTACCAGCTACCTGGGCATCCCCTAGTCCAGTCAAGTTGACACATAAAATGACCACCACAATTCCACCTCTTATCAATCAACTCATACACATCTTTTTAAACCATACTTAATCTTCAATTAAAGACACTAACAGGGTCATAATTTTGCCTAACGTGATACAACTATCCTGCATACAACTGAAAACACACTAATCCCTTCCCCAGAAGAGGAGGTAAAGTATTTGAGTGATGTTAACTCTTCCCCTTGATATCTTATAACTTTACTTCTATGTAAGATTAATAATACTTAAATACTATGATATAAAGTCAATGCATCTTATGTTACATAAGGGAATAAGAGAGTGAAAAATATTTGCTTATATATAAATTGATTTATAAATATATAATATATATTCCATATATATTCAAATATTATATATATATATACATGTATATATCCACACAAATATATTCATTACAAAACAAGGAGAAAATACTCATGGCAGTTATAGCCCTCATTTTTGTAACTGGTCACTTATTCTTAGCTGGTATTTATAAATACCTTCTTCTACTATTCATTCTGTATTCCCTTTGCCTTCAGCAAACACCTCAGCTGGTCATGGTTTTTCACCTGGCAGGGTGATCCAAATCTGAAGGGCCTGGTCATTAGTAGCCCTTGAGTCCTGGTCATTGAGTTGTTATAGTTTTATATTAACCATAATCGCAGCGCATGGTGACACTAAAAGATACCTGAAGGATCTCCTGTTTTCTGGACATACTCTTCTCTGTCTCCATTATGGAATAATAGTCCAATTCCTCTTGGTGGTCTGAATCAATCACCTCAGTCAATACCATACTTCCATTCTTTACCTGTTGACTCAAAACCAGAAGGAGCCCAAACTGACTGGGCAGCAGTCTTAACTTTCAGTTCAATGGAATCATCATAATGTCTCCTGGTGAAAGCATTTCTCCCTCACAACTAGAGACCTTTAGGCCGGCACAGTATAAAGTCATAGGAATGGGAAGCAACAATTTTGCTAGCTGGTCACTAAGGGTAATGGTGGGTGGTTTTACTTCCATTTCCACCCTTTGATTCTTTGACCCATGAATCCAGTCTATGGAAGAGACAACACCAAATATTGGACACTGACTTAGAGCACAGAGAACCTTGCCCCAGCACTCAAGGTATTGCCACCTAACTGGCACTATAACTGACTCTTCACAAAGGTATTGCAGCATTTTATCAAGCCATCTGCTTCAGAATAGTGGAGAACATGGTTAAACTAGTGAATTACATGAGCGTGCATTTATTGCTGCACTTCTTTTGCTGTGGAGTGAGTTCCTTAATCACACGCAACGCTGTGTGGAATGCCATGATAGTGGATAAAGCATTCTGTAAGTCCACAGATGGTAGTTTTGGCAAAAGCACTGTGTACAGGGAAGGCAAAGAGAAGTATCTATTTCCGAAAAAAACACTGGCCCTTTCATAATGGAAGCAGGCCAGCAATGTAATAAACATGACTCCAGGTAGCTGGCTGATCACCTAGGGATGGTGCCATATTGGAGGCTCAGTGTTGGTCTCTGCTACTGGCAGATTGGACCTTTAGCAGTGACCATAGCTAGGTCAGCCTTGGTGAGTGAAAGTCCATGTTTCTGATCCTGTAAAAAACCTCCATGTCTGCCACCACGGAAACTTTGGTCATGAACCCATTGGGCAATGACAGGAGTGGCTGGGGAAAGAGGCTGAGTGGCATTCACAGAAAGGGTCATCATATCTACTTGATTATTAAAGTTCTCCTCTGCTGTGGTCACCTTTTGGTGATCATTCACATGAAACATAAATATCTTCACAAGTTTTGCTGATTTGGAGATGTCTATCCACATTTCTGTCTCCTAAATTTATTTGTCACCAATTTTCCAATTACTTTCCTTCCGAGTTCCTGACCATCCGGCCAAACAACCATTGGCTACAGCCTATACATAAGTATTTAATCACACATCTTGCCATTTCTCCCTCTAAGCAAAGGGAAAAACCAGGTACACTGACCGAATTTTTGTCCACTGTGGGGAGTTCCCTTCATGACTGTCTTTCAGGGATGTCCCAGAGAGTGGTTGTAGTGCTACAGCTGTACACTTCTGAGTGGTGCTGCATATCATGCAGAAACATCTGTAAACCAGGCCTAATTCTTCTCTTCCTCTGCCAACTGATCATAGGGAACTCTCCATGAAGCCATAGGTACAGTCTGGGAGAGAGAAAGCAGTGTAGCAGAAGGGAGGACCATGGGCAATTGGGCAACTTCTTCATGTAAGTTACTTATGCCTTCAGAGACTGTTAGAGCTGGATCACATATATACCACTTCCATTGATGATGAAGTGCTGCGTGCATGCCTAACTTTACAGCTTGGTGGTCAGATAACACCCAGTTTATTATGGGCAGCTCAGGTCACATGGTAACTTGGTGCCACACTGTTGAACATTCAGATTCTACTGATGCCCAGTAGCAGGCCAAGAACTGTCTCTCAAGAAAAAAAGAAGTAGTTATTTGCAGAAGATAGCAGGGACTTGCTCCAAAATCCTAAAGGCCTGCACTCCAATACACTTATATGGACCTGCCAAAGGCTTCAAACAGCATCTCAGTTCACCACTAATATATCAAGCACTATTGGATATGTTAAATCTTATGACTCAAGTAACAGAGCAACTTGCACAGTAACCTGGACCTATTGCAGAGCCTTGCTTTGTTCTAGGCTGCAGTCAAAACTAGAAGCTTTTCAGGTCGTTTTGTAAACGGCTCAGCAAAACACACCCAAATGTGGAATATGATGCCTCCAAAATCCAAAGAGGCCCAATATGTGCTGTGTCTCTTCCTTGGTTGCAGGTGGTGCCAGATGCAACAATTTAACCTTCACCTTAGAAAGGATATCTCCACATGCCCCACACCATTGGACACATAGAAATTGCATTGAGTTAGAAAGCCCTTGAATTTTTGTCAGATTTATTTCCCAACTTCTGACACTTAAAGGTCTTATCGTTAAGTCTAGAGTGGTTGCTAATTCTCATTCACCAGGTCCAATCAGCAAAATGTGATTAATGTAATGGGCCAGTGTGATATCTTGTGGGAGAGAAAGGTGATCAAGATCCATGAAAACTAAATTATGACATAGAACTGTAGAGTTGACATACCCTTGAGGTAGGAGAGTGAAAGTATGTTGCTGGCCTTGCCAACTAAAAGCAAACTGCTTTTCTGGTCCCTTCTGCTAGTTCCCATGGACAGGGATGATGAAAAAGCCATTTCCCAGATCAATAGCTGCATATCAGTGCCAGGAGATAGTTGATTTTCTCAATAAATGGAACCATATCTGGTACAGAATCTGCAATTGGAGTCACCACTTGGTTAGGTTTATGATAATCCACTGTCTTTCTCCAAGACCTGTCTATCATGGGCCAAACAGGATAGTTGAATGGAGATATGGTGGAAATCACCATGCCTGCATCTTTTAAGTTTCTGAGAGTAGCACTAATTTCTGCATGTAGAATTGCTTCTGATTTGCTATTTTTCTAAGTAGAGGTAGTTCTAATGACTTCAATTTGGCCTTTTCTATCATAATAGCCCTCACTTCACAGGTCAGAGACTGAATGGAGGAATTCTGCCTGCTACTAAATATGTCTATTTTAATTATGCATTCCAGAACTGGAGAAAAAGAAAAACACAGGATAGGTTCAAGGACCCATTGGACTCACTGTGAGACAAATCTGAGCTAAAACTTTATTGATCATCTGACTTCCACAAGCCCCTACTCTAATGAGAAGACCACTGTGATGTTTTAGGTCTCCTGTAATCAGTGGATAGACAAATCCAGCGTCCAGTAGACCCAAAAGGTCTGATTATTTGCTTTTCCCCAGTGTACAGTTATCCTTGTAAAAGGCCATAGGTCCCTTTGAAGAAGGATAGGAGAAAGATTTAACAGTATAAATTTTTAGTATTATGCTGTGGTTCTTCCAGGGGTCCTAACATCCCCTTCACTCATAAGGTTCCAGGTCTGTAAACTGGCTCATCTGGGAATTGATTGAGGGGCCACATCTCTCTGTTTTTATGATTTGAGTTAGACTTTTGTTTTTTGGCCTAGAAATGTTCTGCTTATACAGATCAATTAAGAATTTGGTAGGCTTCCTATCTATTTCACTTTGAGAAACATCATGATTAACTAGCCAACACCATACGTCTCCTGGAGTCAGACTATTCTGGTTGCTGCTTTGACTCTGCTGTTCATTATAATAACCATGCCCACTTTGCCTTTGGTGGTTAAGTGCCACTACCATCACTTGATTCCTGCCATATTCTGGGATCTAGAATTGCTTCTGATTTGTTATTTTTCTAAGTAGAGGTAGTTCTAATGACTTCCATTTGGCTTTTTCTATCATAATAGCCCTCACTTCACAGGTCAGGGGATGAATAGAGGACTTCTGCCTGCTAAATATGTCTATTTTAATTATGCATTCCAGAACTGGAGAAAAAAAATGGGATCTAGAAAATCCCATTGCATTTAGGTTTTCCAGTCGAATGACTGTGGTTCCTATTGTGAGGTGGAGCCTACAAAAAAGAGCAACCACAAAGCTTGACAAAGATGCTGGGTATCTCCTCAACATTTATTTATTTATTTATTCAAAGTATTTCTCAAAGTATTGGTGAAAGGTATGTCTTCTGGACCCTTTCAGCATAGGTGAGTAAGGTAAATGACAAATCCACTCCAATCTTCCAATCTCCTTAAGCCTTTGAATTTCTTCCTCTCTATTAAACTAAGGGAGGTCAGGCATTTCCAATTCATTTATGGTGGACCATCTTTTCATCTTTGCTTCACCCTACCAGTTAGAGCCCTTTCTGCCAAGCCACAATATTGAATGCAGAATCTCTGCTTACTGAGCCCATATCAATAAATTCAGCCTGATCCAATTTTATGTTCCTTCTACCATTTTTCCACACCCTTAATTCCCACATATGTTCCACATCCATAATTCCCATACATGTTTCCTGGATTTCTGCTTGTATGAACTAATAACCTCAAGTAGTTGTTTTGGAATTCAGTGCGCCCTGTTATGGGTCATACTTTGTACCTCACCTTTAGGGCCCTGCTGGGACTTGAGTCCAGTCATAGGTCTAGAAGCAAAGAGGAGTGGTCATGGTGAGTCCTGCGGAGAATCAGAATTGTCTTGCATGGCAGTTCTCTCAGGGGAGGCCCTTACCATTTTCTCAAGCAATGCAGGGTTAAACCCCTCAGACAGAGGTGGACAGGCCAATACCTCTGACACTGGGGAGGCTGCTGTCAGTAGGGCTGGGGAGGCCTCTTCTACTGGGGCTGGGGAGACATCTCCCTCTGGCAAAGAAGGTTCATCAGAATTTAGGGGCTCAGTAACTCCAGGTTCATCAGGGTCTTCCCACATGGCCCCATCTCAAATTATGGATCCCATTCTTTCGCAATCAATGCCCTCACTTTAACAGTAGACACCCTGGGAAGCTGGGATTTCAACTTGTGCTGTAATTTAGCCAATCATCAGATGAGGTTCTGCATTCAGCTTTCAGCATTTTCAGCCCTGTAACTATTGGAGATAAGGTTGTCCTTCAGGGCACACCTGGAAGCTCTTAGGTCATTTGTGATTCTTCACCTGGGAATTCAACTCCCTGAACTGAACTCATTTCTTTTTTTTCCACCACATATCCAGTAACATTAGGAGCAACCAACCAGCATCACTATATTCCTTATTTTTCCATAAATGTTCAAAAGTATCATATAGAGAGTCACTTAGCTCACAACACAATACCTACTAGTGAGTAGTCTTTAGCACCATGTACAATACAGAAGATCCTGCTTCACCTCTGGCCTCACACATTGGACAGGGAGAGGGACAGGGTACTTCATCCACTGGCAGCCAGTTTATAGATTGAAAACCTTGCTCAAAAAGGAGAGCTGTCCAATAAGAGTCTTTCTCCACAGAATCTGAATGAAGAAAAAGGAAACAGTCAGGTAGCCACAGAAAATAAATGTGATAGGTATTTGGGAAAATGTAATTAAAAAGAAAACTTTCTCCCTACCGAGAAATCTTCTCCCTAAAGATAGTTGAAGGGGGAAAAAATAGCACTTTTATTATTGAATAAGTATTGGCAAAAAACAGAACTTCAACAAATTTAGTTTAAAGATTGAATTGGCTTTTATTAGCAATTCATGAATCAGGCAGCATCCTATCTAAAAATAGAGGAAGCTCTGTTGGGTAAGGTGGAACAGTTGGTTTTTGTAAGGTGCTATCTTGCAGAATAAGGAAACAATAATACAGAAAAGTGGATTGGTTAACATCAGGTTACTTTAGGTTACTTTCATTCTTTCCTATAGTGCTGGCTCAGGTTGGCTGAGCCCTTTCTGACTGGTTGCTGTGAATCTCTTGTTTGATTATGTGGCACTTAGCGTGAATGACTCCATTTTGGTTTGGTCTGTTGAGGCCCAGTGCAGAAGCTCAATCTAAACCTACAGCCTTCCATAAATTTTATTTAATAGCATTAAACCAGAATGTAATGTGCACCACTAGGAGATTGCAAAGACAGAAAGAAATCTCACATTTTTATATAGCCATTACGTATGTGTTTTCAAGGTAAGCAATAACTAGTCTTCAAATAAGAGGACTTGACAGCACCAACTGTCACACAAAGTTCATCCTAACTTTACCTAGGCATGGGGCTGACCACCTGTATTAGCTAATTGGCTTTATCCAAAGGAAGAAACCAACTTCTCATGTCTTATATTGGGAGGCAGTTTTGCAACTTGGAGCAAGATACTCACTGAAGTCAGACTTCTACCCTGACACAGAAACTGGGAGATGGGGGTGCTAAGTCCTTTGATGTTTACATTTCAAAGAGATGGCTGCCAGGTCCTTGGGAAAGACATTCCAGGATAACAAAGCTGAGGAAAGTCCTACCTAATCTTCAAAAGGATTTAAATACATTTCAAAGGGAGAAGAAAATACTTACAACTAGAAGTTTTCTAAGGTAAATGCTTAAAGAAAAAGGAAGAGAGGAAAATCTCTTTTCTTATTTTCAAGAGGAATAATTAAGCCTTTTAATTTTAGTTTGTACATAGTAAGTCCTCAATTAATGTAGTGGATAGGTTCTTGGAAACTGACTTTAAGCAAAATGATAATGAAACCAATTTTACCATAGGCTAATTAATATAAAAAAAGAGTTAAGTTTCTGTGACTTTTCTGGTCACAAAAACATTACCAAACCTCTAACAAAAGACTGAAAATACTTCTAATATTAAACCTTGAAATAAATGAGAGCTACACATACATTTAAGAAAGATCAATAAAAACAGGTAAGATAATTATTTACCCAATTTCTGGAATCAGTGAGTGAAGGCAACCATAGGTAGTTTCAATCAAGGAATAAATGTTTTCACAGCTGAAATCATAAGGAGCACCCCCAGTCACCACGTGGCTTAAAAAACCAACAATCACATATGGCGGCTCACTGAGTGCTTTATTGCTGCATCCTTTATTGTTGTGCCTTTGTATGATTATTGTATACTTTACACATTTTTCTTTGGCAATGACTTATGTTTACTCATTTACTCATTTTCCAACCCATTCATTCCAGTTCAGGGTCATGGGTGGCTGTGAAGCCCATCCCAGCAGCTCAGGACTCAAGGCCAGAACCAGCTCAGGACAGGACACCATCCCATTGCAGGGTACAGTCACACACACACACCCACTCTCACTCACACTGGGACCACATAAACACACCGTTCCACTCCACGATGTGAGAGGAAATGCGAGTATCCAGAGCAAACCCATACAGACAAGCGGAGAATGTGTAAACTCCACAGAGAGTGGCCCCAGATGGGAATCTATTTTTTTCTTCCAATGTTAAAATGAAACAAAGTTATGCTAGGAGCCGCTGCATTTTCATGAAAAGGTTCTGTTGTAGAGGCTGGAGGGGTCATGAGAAACCTGTGTGAGCTGGAGTTACGTGGTAACACAAACAACGAATAAGCAGAAACTATAAGGTAGATAGAAGACACCTATCTCAAGATCCATATAAAGATCTATAATTGAGAGAGTGCTAATAGAGATGCATGAGAAGCAGGCATGTGCCAAGCCACTGAGACTATCTGAGCAAATTCACCACTTTGCTGTTGCAGTTGCCTTCAACACGGAACCACCGCTTTCCAGGCTTGGCTGTCCAGATACCCCTGAGCTCCCCTGTGTATATATTATCACAACAACCACCACTCCTTCCTCCATATACATGCAATTACTTGAAGGAGCATGAGGTAGGTCTTCATTTCATGGCTAAAAAAGCACTTGCTTAAAACATGATGGAAACAGTTTTTCCTGAAGGGCTTTCTGGAAAACCTGGGATGCTACTGCGCTGAACACACTGTCATCCAGATAAAAGTGACTCTTCCTGGGGAGCCTTGAAATCCAGAACATGGGAAGGTCATTCTGTGGATTCAGGATCACTCTGACAATACTAAAAAGGGCCTACACAGTGTTATATGCATGCAAATAAATGTCCTCAGGTGCAGGAAGGACATTTATACTAGCTCTGGTTTGTGAAAGGCAATCTTTGATTGTCTTAAACAAAGGGTTTTTTTGTGTTGTTGTTTTTTGTTTTGTAAGATTCTTGGAATCTGCAACTCTAAGCAAAATGACATGTGATGACCTTGGCTATATGTTGTTGGTAAGACCTCCTTGGTAAGAATTTAATAGAATTAGCCTTTGTGCAAGGTATTCATCTGTTCGTCTGTTGCTTTGCTTATTTGTTCAACCAACCAACAATTTCCAGGCCATGCAGGGTTCTATGCTGAGAACACAACAGCTGATAAGCTAGACCAGGGCCCTGCTGTTGAGGCACTTATATCCCACTGGGAGACAGAAAACAAGCAGAGGCATATAAAGACAATATATCAGCTGCAAAGTTCAGGGGGAAATAAAGCAAGGGAGGGTGGATACTATCTCAGACACTGTTCAGGGAGATCACATATTATCTTGTGTTCATTATCACTTAGGCCAGCAGTATGAGCTAAAACGTGGCAAATAACATTTTTTCCAAGGGTCAGAAAGAAAGAAAGCACTGTAGATGACTGGAGTTGGTTTCTCTAAAGAAGTAAATATGAAAATTTCCTTTCTGGGCTACAGAGGTGTGGCAGCTTTTAAGAACCTTTTCTCTAGCTTCCCTCAGAGATCACTTAAAGAAGCTAAATGAGGTATCTAGTCTTTGTCATTCCTATTAAAGATCCTTCATCACCGAAGGACCCCTGACACATCTTTCAAAAGTGATCCAGTCATAATGCCCTACAGGAGGGCAGTGCTGCCAAATGGGGAGAGCATCAGTCTAGCCACCCAGAGACCCCAGTCCTATTCCAGATTGATGCCAGATACTTATTTTTATCCTTATATGATGTGTCTGGTCCACCTGAAGTCTCAGTATCAGTCTCAAGTAGATGAGATCAGGGAGTTCAATGCTGTGCTTTGTGTGAACTTCAATACAGTGAATGCAAAACCACTTCTGGGGTTGTAATGCAGCTGATTTCATGCATGCCTGCTTCATACATGTCTGCTTAACAAGTAAGATCAAATCAAATCAAATTATTTAGTAACAGCACTGACTTCCTTGTCCTTGATAGGCTTCTCTTTGAAGCAAACAAAGTGGAAGAAATGGTGATATGATTTCTGTTGTAAACTGTCTCGTACTCTATTTGGTGAAAGTGAACTGCTTTTTATAAAATAAATGGCTAGGGTTGGGGAGTTTCGATATAACTCTTAAAGGTAAAGGTTTTGCGTCCCTGGAATGAAACGCTCAATAAAGCTATTACTCCCCTTGGTGGCTTTCCAGAGTCCTGTACCTTTGGGATTCACTTTCCCTTTTCTGTGTTTGCACAGTAGTCCCTGGAGGACTCTTGCTGAGGACACTTAGTGATAAGACATTACTTGTTCAGGCTCATATTCCCTTCTGGGAGAAACACTATACCAGGCTTCCAACTCCATCTCATCCCACACACGGAGACTTCACCATCCTGGCAACCTTACTGTGCTACCTTTGACCACAAAACAGGTAAGCACTCAGGGCCAGACATAATAAATCTTGTATGGTGAGGATATCTACGATGTCTGGCACAATCACATTGTTTGAATTTATAAATGATTAGAGCAGCAGTTTGTATTGTTCATATTAAAGTGAACTCACAGAATCATTGGAAGTTAGCAAAAAATAAAACAAACCCCAAGTAAAGTGATAAATATTAAATTTTGGAGTGTCCAGACACCAAATGTGAGTACAGTCAAATGCAAACTCTAGTAAAGAAAATAGGCTGGGCATGGTGGCTCACAACTGTAATCCCAACACTTTGGAGGCTGAGGCAGGAAGATAACCTGAGATCAGGAGTTCAAGACCAGCCTGGGCAAAGTGGTGAAACTCTGTCTCTACTAAAAATACAAAAATTAACTGAGCATGGTGGCAGGCACTGGTAATCCCAGCTACTCAGGAGGCTGAGGCAGGAGAATCTCTTGAACCCGGGAGGTGGAGGTTGCAGTGAGCCAAGATCTCACCATTGCACTCCAGCATGTATGACAAGAGTGAAACTCTGTCTCAAAAAAAAAAAAAAAAAAAGAAAGAAAGAAAGAAAGAAAAAGAGAAAAGAAAATACATCTAAGTTGAATTGTTCAAAACAGGCAGCCCTCTATGGCACCAAGTGAGCCGGGGGTGGTAAAAATTGTCCAATAAGAGCAGATGTTCTCTGTCAAGAAAAATTGAGATTAAAGAGGATTTGGACCTGATTCATCCAAACAATTACAATAGCTAGAGCACTCATTTCTCATACTCTTTCTTAGTCCATTTTCTACTGCTATAACAGAATACCACAGACTGAGTAATTAAAAAAAAAGTGTATTTGGCTCACAGTTCTGGAGGCTAGAAGTCCAAGAGCATGATGCTGACATCTGTCAAGTGTCATCCTATACCAGAAGAATGGAAGGAAGAAGCAAGCTTGCAAGACTTGCAAGAGAGAGAAAATTGGGCCAACTCACCCATTTATGGGGAACCCACTCCCATGACAATTAACCTGCTCCCATAATAATGGCATTAATTCATTCTTGAGGGGATCTGCCTAATCACCTCTTTATGGTCTCACCTCTTAACGTGGTACAGATTAGGACACCAAAGCCCATTGTGTCTTGGCAACTTGTCCATAATCACACAATCAATAAACGATTCAGTGAGACCCTCCACTCTCCTCTGATAACTCCAGGTCCTTTCCAATGCCATTCTACTGCCTCTTGGTCAGCCTCAAACCACCACATTCTATATCACATTCCATATCACGCGCTTGGCTAGAATCCCAAGCCTGGTTTCAAAGACCTACCCCTCTCAACAATAATATCATCCTCAGACTGTGAAGAGTGCTATGGTTTGAATGTTCCCTCCAAAACTCAAGTTGAAATTTGGTTGCCATTTGCACAGTCCATAGAGGGTAATAACTTTGAAGAGTCATCAGCAAGATTAAGTTTATTGGATGTAGAAGATATTCTATTAGAGTATGAGAAGAAATAACTTATATTTCTATTTGCATTTTTATCTTGTTCTCTTTTTTAATGCTATTTTTCTATATATGTTAATGTACATGGTAATACAGTGGTACATAGATAATTTAAAAATTGTGTGGCCAAAATAGTGTGAAGACCACTGGTTTAGAGCATTATGAGTTGGAAAAACGTGTTCAAATTTCTACTCTGTTACTTACTTATTGCCTAACCTTAGGCAAAATCTTCAAATTTCCTGAGCCTCACTTTCAATGTATGTATTACAAGGACAATGATAGCACATACGTCATAAGAGTGTTGCAAGGATCAAATGAGTGCTCACCATGGTGCCTGGCAAGAAGTAAGTGTGAAATAGATAATAGCTTTTATTACTCATCAACAAAATGGAGATTATCATTTCTTTCTTGCCAAATTGTTGTGAAATTTAATGACATGGTATATTTAAAAGCATATTGTAAAGTATAAGTTCCAGACAAATGTAAGGCACTATTTCTTACAGTTTGTTGAAAAACAGTTATTTTCAGTGCTAGAGTATGAAACCATTTCAATTTAACCTTTGTTTTGTGGGACTACCTTACATTTCTTCATACCTTAGGATTATCACAGGGACACCTGGGAAAAAATGTTCCTAGGGCTAGTACCCTGAGATTTTTCTCTATAAACAGAGAACTTGGACATTATCTGGGTTGCTGAGTGTGGGCTCTCTGAGGCCCTTCTGCTACAAATGTTAGCATTTTCCAGGTAAGACCAATATATTCTAGTATTCCCCAAAGTTCTTGTCCTTTAAAATCAGAGTAAGAACTTGAGGTGGTTTGTTCATATAAAGCAGTGCCTTAGAATAAACAAGATTTATGTATTTAATAAGATCTACGGAATACTGGAATTCAGTACCAGAGTAAGTCTAGGAAACATAACAGGCTCCCAGAGCAAGCTATTTAAATGAAAGAAAATATAACCAACTTAATTCTAACCTTCTTTGAGGATAGTAAATTATTTATAACTGAAATCATTTCTGTTTCATGTCTAGTAATATCATATTATGTTGGTTGGCAGAACAGTGAATAAAGTAAGAACCATACATTCTGACTTTCCCTATTGAACCACCTTTAATCTCTCTCTGTTTCAATGACCCAGAGGAACAGTGAAAACATGAGATTCAAGATTCTGTGAGCTGGACAGCAGATGGAGGCACACTGACAGCAGATGGAGGACATAAAGCTGACAGTTAAGAGACATGTGAATGGGTTGATGGGGAATGATCTCTTTGTGAAGTCTGTTGTTGGCAACACATTGCGGCAGAAGAAACAGCTCAGTGATGGTCCCCACAGCTGCCATTCTCCAGTCTTGAAGTTGGTGTATGACCTCACTGTGACCGACCCCCTATGGGCTGACAATGTGGAAAACAGTAATGGTCAAGAAATCCTCCCTGTCCTTTTGTGTTCCAGGCAGAGAGCCACCCTTCCCCATGTGACTTGGGGAAGACTCATGGATGAGCTCCTTGAGAACCTATGACGAAGCCAGACACAACCCCTCCTAGGGTCTGAAAGTTTGTGTCCTTCCAAATTCATATGTTGAAATCCTAACCCCCGAGGTGATGGTATCAGGAAGTGGGGCCTTGGGAGGTGGTTAGGTCATAAGATTGGAGCTCTTATGTATGGAATCAGTGATTTAAAAAGGCCCCAGAGAGCTGCCTTGCTCCTTAAGACATGTGAGGATACAGCAAGAAGGTGCTGTCCATGAGAAAGCTGGCCCTCACCAGAAACCAATCCTACAGATGCCTTGATCTTGGACTTCACAGCCTCCAGCACTGTGAGCAATGAGTTTTTGTTGTTTATAAGCCACCTAGTCTATGGTATTTTGTTATGGCAGCTTGAACAGACTAAGCCAACCCTCCAAATTTTCATTCTTTGGTCCTCACTGACTAATCTGAACAAACTGCTCATCAACTTAACTTGTTCAAACTTAATGAGGCTTCTCTCCCTCCCCAGGCCTTTGAACTTTGGCTGGCCCCTGAGCTTAAGCAAGCACTAAAACACAGAACATCTCTCCTCAGTGATCCTTCCCTGTTCAAATTGTCTGTTCACACCACCTGCTCATCCCACTCCCGCACAGCCACTCCTCTCTAGTATTCTCTACTCCTTCACATAAAAAGAGAAGCCCTTAGCCGGGTGCAGTGGCTCATGCCTGTACTCTCAACACTTTGGGAGGCCCAGGTGGGTGGATCACCTGAGGTCAGGAGTTCAAGACCAACCTGGCTAACATGGCGAAACCCCGTTTCTACTAAAAATACAAAAAAATTTAGCCAGGCGTGGTTGTGTGTGCCTGTAAACCCAGCTAGCTGGGAGACTGAGGCAGGAGAATCACTTGAATGTGGGAGTCAGAGGTTGCAGTGAGCCAAGATTGCGCCACTGCACTCCAGCCTGGGCGACAGAGTAGGACTCTGTCTCAAAAAAAAAAAAAAAAAAAAAGAGAATCCCTTTCCTGCCTGAGCTTTGAGACACCTGCGGAGGCTATGGTCAGAGCATTCTCCTTAAGGCAATAGTGACCCTCTTCCTTTTGCAATAGAATTTATGAATGGACTGTCTCTTGACTTAAGTCCAGATTTGTTTCTTCACTTGACAGAGGAAAGCTACACATTTTATTCTATCTTTAGTCTTAGAATTCTAAGTATGATTTTATTCTTGTATTCATCTATTAAACAAATACCCACATATCAATATATATCGAACTCACTCTTCGTGCTGGAGATAAAATAAGAACAAGCTTTCTCTTCCATGAACCATTACCCTATTAGGGGAGTGGGTGGGAGACAGATAAGGAGAAAATAAATGTCAAATTATATGAAGTGCTTTGGAGAAAAGTAAAGCAAAGTACACTAGTGCCCCCTATCCACGGTGGATACATTCCAAGACCCACAGTGGATGCCCGAAACTGTGGATAGTGTTGAGCCCTATATATATATATTCTGTTTTCTCCTACACATATGTACCTGTGATAAGTTTAATATATGATAAACTTGATAAGATTTACCATACAATTACCTTTTTCTCTTTTCTTCTTTTTTTTTTTTTTTTTGAGATGGAGTTTCACTTTTGTTGCCAGGCTGGAGTGCAATGGCGCGATCTTGGCTCACTGCAACCTCCACCTCCCGGGCTAAAGTGATTCTCCTGCCTCAGCCACCCGAGTAGCTGGGATTACAGGCATGCACCACCACGCCTGGCTAATTTTGTATTTTTAGTAGAGACGGGGTTTCTCCATGTTGGTCAGGCTGGTCTCGAACTCCTGACCTCAAGTGATCCACCCGCCTAGGCCTCCCAAAGTGGTGGGATTACAGGCGTGAGCCACCATGCCCAGCCACAATTTATTTTCTTTCCTTAAGTCGAAGACTTTCACTTTTTCACTTAATGGAAGCAACGTATGGCTTCTCTTTGGCATGTCCTGATTGTCAGCATCACTACTGTTGCATTTGGGGACATCATGAAGTAAAATAAGGATAACTTACCACAATCACTACAATAAGGTGAAATCAGTCTGACAACCCGGACAACGATGAAGTGACTAATGGACAGGTAACATAGACATCATGAACACGCTGGACAAAGGGATGATTCACATCCTGGGGGGACAAAGCAGAAAAGTGTGAGTTTCATCATGCTGCACAGAACGGCACAAAATTTAAAACTTATGCATTGTTTATTTCTTCTTTCTTTGTTGTGACAGGGTCTTGCTCTGTTGCCCAGGCTGGAGTACACTGGCATAATCTCGGCTCACTGCAGCGTCAACCTTCCAGGCTCAAGCAATCCTCCCACCTCAGACCTGGCCCAAGTAGGTGGGACTACAGGTGCATGCCACCACACAAGGCTAATTTTTGTATTTTTTGTAGAGACAGGGTTTTGCCATGTTGCCCAAGCTGGTCTCGAAATCATGAGCTCAAGCAATCTACCTGCCTTGGCCTCCCAAAGTACTGGGATTACAGGTGTGAGCCACTGCGCCTGGCCTGAATTATTTATTTCTAAAATTTTTCATTTACTATTTTCAGACCACAGTTGACTGCAGGTAACTGAAATTATGGAAACCAAAACCCTTAGTGGGTAAGGGGGCACCACTGTAAGAAGAGGTATCTGGGCTTGGGGATGAGTTGGTATTGTAAATATGGTAATCAGATAAGATTTCGTGAACACCATAGACCTTGTATTAGTCTGTTCTTGCACTGCTATAAAGAAATACCTGAGACTGGGCAATTTATAAAGAAAAGAGGTTTAATTGGCTCACAGTTCTGCAGGCTGTACAGGAAGCATGGTGGCTTTTGCTTCTGGGGAGGCCTCAGGAAACTTACAATCATGGTGGAAAGCAAAGGGGAAGCAGGCACATCTTACATGGCCAGAGCAGAAGGAAGAGAGAGAGGGAGGGAGAAGTGCTACACACTTTTAAACAACCAGCTTTCACAGGAATTCACTCACTATCATAGGAACAGCACCAAGGGGGAAGGTGTTAAACCATTCAGGAGAAACTGCCCCCATGATTGGATAATCATCTTCCACCAGGCCCTACCTCCAACGTTGGAGATTACAATTCGACATGAGATTTGGGCAGGGACACAGATCCAAAACATATCAGACCTAAAAGCAGTCATGGAGACCACTAACAAGCGCAAAGCCCCTGAGATGTGCGTTCAGGGTGTTCACAAAAGAGCAAAGAGGCCGATGTGGCTGGAAGATAGTAAGCACGGGATATGAGATAAAATCAGAGAGGCAGTGTGTTCTAGGTCACGCAGGGCTTGTGGGCTATCGTAAAGACTTCAGCTTTTACTCTGAATGAGATGGAAAACTAACAAGCGTTTTAAGTAGTAGTGCTATGATCTGAATAACATTTTAAAAGATCTACTCTTGATTCTGTGTGGAGAATAGGCTAGGGAAAGACCAAGGACAGAAGCACAGAGTCCATTTGGGAATCTACGGCAACAATATGTGCAAGGGAAGATGGTGACCAGGACCAAGATGGTGACCAGGACCGTGTGGAAGGGCAGGGTGTGGAGGTCAGAATCAGGACTTGAGTTTGGAGCACATTATGCTTTTCATGTTTATTACACATCAAAGTGGAGATTTCTAGTTGGAAATTAGAGAGGTGAGAGAGAGAGAGAAGTTGTGACTTTGGGAGGGAGATCTTTACAGATTTTTGATGTTAATATCTCTGAAAGGACTCTTTCTAATTATTTACACAATTAAGACAATTAACTAAGTCAAACGATTATTTCATTAATGATTGACTATTGTTAAGCCAAATATTATTAACTTTGTCTACTTGATCTGTTTTGCCTGATATGCTGACTATGCTTTTGCCTCAAGCTTTTGCGCTTTGTTCCCTCTGTCTATCAGAGTTACTCAAAGTGCAACCAGATGAAAAGCAAGAGCCAGGCCGTGCATGGTGGCTCATGCCTGTAATCCCAGTATTTTGGGAAGCCGAGGTGGGAGGATCACGAGGTCAGGAGTTCAAGAGCAGCGTGGCCAATGTGGTGAAACCCCGTCTCTACTAAAAATACAAAAAAAAATTAGTCGCGCATGGTGGCACATGCCTGTAGTCCCAGCTACTCGGGAGGCGGAGGCAGGAGAATCGCTTGAACCCAGGAGGCGGAGGTTGCAGTGAGCCGAGATCGCGCCACTGCACTCCAGCCTGGGTGACAGAGCGAGACTTTGTCTCAAAAAACAAACAAACAAACAAACAAACAAAAAAAGAGCAAGAGCCAGAGTGCAAATGAACACAGTGCTTCCTTCGTCAAGAAAGTCTTGCAATAAAAGAGAAAAATGTCAGCTGCAGTGAACAGTGTCCTTCATGATGGAGCTGGTTTGCGTTCTGAGGAAATTGCAACCTCCTCACCACTAACTGGAACAAACATACCACAGACCATACTTTGAGAAGTAAAATTCTAGAGCATCGCTGAAGCAACCCCAAGTAACTACACGGCTCTTCTTCATTCCATTCAGGTCCCTGAACAAATGTCATGTCCTCAGAGAAGCATACACTTCTGAAACAGCTGGCTTCAGTCCCTCTCTCTTTTAGTTTTCTTTGTAGCATGTATCATTATTTAACTTTATATTATGTAATTATTTGTTTAATATCTCTCCATTAAAGCAAGCTCAATTAGAGTTGCAACTTGCTCTGTTTCATTCAGTTATATCCCCAGCACCTAGAAAATTGCCTGGCACATAGGAGGTACGTAATAATGAAAATGAATGAATAGTACTAAAAAGGATGAATATAGGTATACTAATATCAAAGTCCCTGCTGTTTAAAATGTTGTGTTCATCTAATAAATCTGTGACCTTCTTTAACAGCTCATTTTCCTTATTTTAGGTTTATTTCTTATAAGCAATATAGTATGGGATTTGGGGCTATTTGGTTTTGTTTTTAACCAATTTGAAAATTTTTCTGTAGTCATGGAATGTAATCCATTTACACTGTCAAAATGATATGTTTAAGTTAGGCCAGTTATCATACATTTTGCCTCCTTTCTCTTTGAAAACAATGTCTATGCTCTTGTCTTTTTCACATACTGCTATATAGACTGTGATTTGGAAACTGTTTCTGCCTCAGAGGTTCTATAGTTTTTTTTTTTCCTAATTCTTACATCAGAGATGGAAGACTAACTTGGTTTCTCTCCCTATTATCTATAATTAATAAATTCATAGTTTTTAGTTTGCCTATGTTCTAACCACCTTTTGTTTTTCAATATTTGTGTTTTTCATCTCCATGTAATCCTTCCTGTCCTAAACACATCTTCACTCCACCAATACTTATTGTAAAACCATACATGCAATGAGTTCATCATTTTGTTAGGAGTCAGAATTTCTTTTCTCAATCAGGCAGACACTCTTCTTCAGAAGAAGGCAGTGGATATAATTATTTTTCAGTGATCCATTTTATGTGAACTGCATATTTTCATAGATCCTACAATATTTCAGTTTAACTCATCTCATGGTGAAATTTTGAGTCAAACAGGAATTAGGATGAATTATTTCAGTCCCAGTCCAAACTATTTACTGGACAGTCTACAGACTCAAACCATTTTCATTATCTAATAGCCTGCGGCATGGAATAGAGAACATTAATGATAGATTCTCCTTTAGTGCACATTTGTCTATGCCACCAATATTCTCAGGTCACTAGAGAGAAGTCCCTGCCATTTTTCTCCTCGTAGTCTCCTGAGTTTTAAGGAGCAAATTTGAACTATATCTGCTCTCTACTTCCTAGGCCCCATAAAACAGCAGTAAATGAGGGACCTATGGGCTTACTAGTGGAGTCCAAATATTGTTGGTGGGAAATGTTAAGAGGGAGCTTAAAGCCTCAGGGCCCAATTCTGCCTCCAGTTCTTGAACTTTCTAACTTGTCAGGGAACTCTTCAAGGCTTTCTTCTCACTGACTTCCTTAACATTCTGATCTCTGAAAAGCAGACAATCAGGTTAGCTTTCCTCCAAACCAAAATGTATAGTGCATGGATGATATTCATCTCTAGTTTTCAGCTGTTTTAAAAATATATTTGCATATTTTACTGGTCATTTAAGGGAAAATTTGAGAGGAGAAACAAGAATATTTTTTCCCTCATGCCACCACCTTGCTGAAAAGTAATTTCTATGTATTTTACTCAGTGCAAGCATGCTAGAAAAAAAACTTGGAGAAGCAATTCTGGTAGTCAGTTTACTAGTTGATGCTTAACCTATTTATTGCATGCTGTTATCAAATTGATTTGGGTTGTTGTGAATGCACAAATATCATGACATGCTTATTGAAATCTCTGTAATTATCTGATTCTAAGGGAGTAATTATGGATATGGACCAGATGATGGGAAAGAAAGAATGAAAATTAGAGAGAAGTGAGTGATCATATTTTATCTGTTTAAACTGTCAAGGGCTAGGAGTGTGGGAGATCTGAAAGTAGAAATAATAAATAAATAGCTTTCCTCAATATCTATTGTCCTCCAAAAACCAAGATAGTCATAAGCATGAGATTTATAAAAATAATAATAATAAGCTGAAGAAGAAGGCAAATCTGTGTATCTATCCTCAAGTTCCGATAAGAAAGCAAATGGCAGGCTTTCATGTCTTTGGTATTTTAAATCACGTATTAATTTTTGTGTCACACAATACGTGGGCAATTCAGCAAAGCAAAAATGGTATAATTTAAATTGTCCTAAATTTCCTCTTTTGATGCCTATTCATTATGTTACTCATCTTCATTTCTGGCCAGAACTGTGGGGAGACAGCATCTCAGCAAAGTAAACAACAGTTCTGTGTCACAGAGACAGCTGTTAGGTTTCAGTGATGGGTGAACTGATTGATTTGTAGAGATAACTCTGGCCACTTAATGAACAGATTTAGGCAAAATTAAAGACTAAACTAATGACCTTGTGGAGTTCATCTGAAAGAACAATCGTTCATTACCATAACAAAATACATGATTATCATTAACAAATAATATAGTTACGTTATTAACAACATGCTCATACAGGCAAGAAGCAAAGATTAGCAGCCCTTCTGGGTCTATTAATTTGCTCACGAATCACAACTATTGGAAACATAAAACCCAGGCTTTCAAAATCAGCCCTAAATGTGGCTCACTGGCTTATGACATTAGCTACTGTGTTGTGTTTGGAGTGTAATTCACAAGCTTACATGGAGTATTCAGAAGGATAAAGTCTACAGTGGCTTTGCGTGGTGAAGGTAGTTTGTGGCTTACAGACCTGTATGCAGAGACTGGAGCCTTGGGGAGATGCCCATAGAACAAAAGCCAGTGGGCACTGCTGCTGGAATAGGCGCACAGAAGGTGTTGAGGAGGCACGGGGGTGAGCAGGCAGATGGAGGGTTGGAGGGTGTCTTGGAGATTTAGCTAATTTTCCCATATTCCTAAGTATAATTCAGAGGCAAATCAAATCTGAAGCATTTTACTTTCAAAAACTAAAAAGTCTTTGGTTTCTATTCATATGAAAGTCCGAGGTGGTGCCAAATATATAAAATGTGCGATTGCAGAGCCCAAGTCCTGCAATTCTGCTGCTATTTCCTCACTAAGCTTGGCTGGGACATTTCTTGCTCACAACAATCACTAAGCTGCATTTTCTATTTGGAAACAGCCCAGGTGCTTCACAGAGAGAGAAGAGCAATTCAATTTCATTTGTATTACCCCAGTACCTTCCCTGCCCTATTCTACCAAGGTGGCCTAGATTCAAATGTTGAGTTAGTGAGAACCTAAGGGATTTTTTAACTTCTACCATTTTACAGATAATGAAACTTGGAATCAGAACAGTTAATGGCCATGGCCAGGGTCAATACCCAGTTAATGAGAGAGCCAAGACTAGGAGCCTGCTCTCCCAGATCTTTGAACAGCTCTCTTTAAGTTGGAAGAGAAAGCTCGCTTCTAAGAGACTACAAGAAGCAGACATATTTTATTGAATTCCAGGATGTCATATATTTTATGTACCACTAAGAAAAAAAAGTTGCCAATTATAAAATGCCATTGATTGTAAAATGCATACGATTGTAGACATGCTAAATAATATATTTTTAATTGTAAATGTATATACTTTTAATCTTAAAAAATATATTTTTAAATCTTAGAATTGAGAAGATGTGGTAATAAAAATTTTCATTGTTCCTAAATAAATTGGAAGCTTATCCAGGCAAGGTATTTTATTCTTTTTTTTTTTTTTTTCTCCCCAGACGGAGTCTCCCTCTGTCACCCAGGCTGGAGTGCAGTGGCACAGTCTCGGCTCACTGCAACCTCCGCCTCCCAGGTTCAAGTGATTCTCCTGTCTCAGCTTCCAGAGTAGCTGGGATTACAGGCACCCGCCACCACACCCGGCTAATTTTTGTATTTTTAGTAGAGATGGGGTTTCACCATATTGGTCAGGCTGGTCTCAAACTCCTGATCTCAGGTGATCCACTCACCTCGGCCTCCCAAAGTGCTGGGATTACAGGGGTGAGCCACTGCGCCTGGCCAAGATATTTTATTCTTACTCTCCGTGGATATCAAGAACCATGCCAAGCTCAATAGCTTTGATCACCTCCTTTAATTAGTTGCTTATTCTATAGTAAGTCTTCTATATTAAGCTTAGTCTATAGTTAATGATTCTATAGTATTTACTTTGTGAAAATCCATTAATATAATCCATTTATATTCCATGAATTTATCTATATTTTTAATTAAAATATTAAACTGCTCTATTTTTAGAGCAATTTTAATTTTACAGAAAAAATAAGCAGAAAGTACAGAGTTTCCATATACCCCTCTCTCCCATGCCCATTGTTTGCCCTAATTAACATGGTGCATTAGTGTGGTATATTTGTTACAATTGATGAGCTAATGTTGATATATTATCATTAAAGTCCATAGTTTACATTACAGTTCACTCTTGGTGCTATACATTCTATGGGTTTTTAAAGATGTCCTGTATCCACCACTACAGTGTCATATACAGTAGTCTCACTCCATAAAAATACACTTGTGCTCAGCCTATTTGTCCCTTCCTCCCCACAAATCCTGGGAAACCACTGATCCTTTTACTGTCTTCATAGTTCAGCCTTTTCCAGAATGACATATAGTTGGATTCATATAGTATGTGGTATTTTCAGACTGGCTTCTTTTACTTAGCAATGTGCACTTAAGATTGTCCCGCCTCTTTGCATCCCTTGATAGCTCATTTCTTTTTGTCATTAAATAATATTCCATTGCATAGATGTACCAGAGTTTGTGTATCCTATTGAAGGACATCTTGGTTGTTTCCAATTTTTGGAAATTAGGAATAAAGCTGCTGTGTACATTTGTGTGCAGACTTTTGTGTAGACATAAGTTTTCAATTGATTTGGATAAACATGAAAGAGTGCAATTAGTGGACCACGTGGAAATAGTTATGTTTAGCTTTGTAAGAAACTGGCAAACTGTCTTCCAAAGTGGCTGTGCCATTCTGCATTTCCACCAGCAATGAATCAGAGTTCCTGTTGCTCCACATCCTTACCAGCATCTGTTGTGTCAATGTTTTGTATTTCCACCATTCTAATAGGTATGCAGTGGTATCTCATTGTTGTTTCAGTTTGTGATTCCCTAATGATGGTACTATATGATGTTGAGCATCTTTTCATAACTTTCCATCCGTGTATCTTCTTTGTTGAGGTGTCTGTCCAGGCCTTTGCCCACTTTTTAGTTGGGTTGTTTGTTTTCTTATGGTTGAATGTTTACAGTTCTATATATTTTTAATTTTCAAATTTTTCAGGGTAAGTAAAAACATTTTAAATAATTCACAAAATGGTATAAATCACTCACAAATAAAAATCTGTAAATAATTTTTATCAGAATCAGAAATTTCCATTACAAATAAAAATATCTAAATTTTAAAAATTTCTGTTTTCTCTACTGTAAAATTATATTGATTTAGATAAGATTTTCTCAAGCATCAAAAAACTTCTTATAATATTAAGTAGAGACTTAACCGGTCAGATAACTTATTTTCCTCCCTCCAACTTTATCTGCTAACCTTAATAATCAGAACTAAGTAAAACAATACTTGCTCATTAACAATTTATCTCTACACAAAAATGGAAAGAATTTTGAGATGTGCATGCAGATAAACAGGTAGAAAGTTCCATCTTATACGTCATAATGGTATATCTACAAAAAGGCCAAAGCAGTTGTCAGGTTCAGCCAATTTCCTGAAAAACAATGAAAACTGATCAAGTGAACTAATTGTTTAATTGGATTAAATGGCGAGTTTTTTTCTAGATAGCCTGTCTTTGGGGGTCTTTTTCAATCTCTCTATGTGCAATTTACATAGAATAGCACTAACTGTTCTTTGTAGCGTTTTGATGAAGACTTTTATTTTAACAGTTTCTAAAGCTCATTAGTAAATTAAAATGTTAATTCTAATAAAATAGAAAAATCTACATACATAAATTTCTTAATAACACAGGCCATACTTCTTAATCCACCTAAAACTAAAATATTGCAACAATATAATACCAAAAATAAGATTATTTCAAAGCCCAAAGTAATGTTAACCTAGACATCTGACACCACCAGTCTGCAGATACGGGGGTGGGAATGTGGACCTCCTGTTTGATGGAGCAAAGTGAAAGTGCATATATCACCTCCTTCCCACCACCAACCCTGCAGATGCAGATGGAGGTCAGGGATGAGCTGGGGTTTCATTTTACACATATTTCTTGGTTATAAAATAAAACTAAGGACATATGGCTTATTTCTTAGGCAGCTTCGAATACCCATGAATCAAAATATTATGTATCAAATATGACTATGTGAGTAATATTGTCTGAGATTATTTCAATTATTTATGAAAGGTAATTAAAAGCAAGTAAAACAACAGAAATTATAGTAGATATTTTACTATTTAATTTTCTTTTTTTAAAGTGAAGCTCAGAAAAATGATGGCGTGCACTGGCCTTCATCCTAAGGCAGTTGCCTCTTCCTTGCCCCTCTGGCTTCATTTCCCTGTGCCAAGCTCAGCCACTGGAATTCTTACCAGAGCTCCAGAGACTATAGCTAAGCTGACCGAGTTGCCTATGTACTTTCTGGGTCCTGTCACCCTTCTCTTTGACCTAAGTCTTCAGATCTGGCAATCTCTGAGTTGGTGGGGGCCCTTCCATCTTCTTCCCCCTAAGAAGCAAGCCTCGAACCCCTCTCCTCTGGGACAAACTATATTAATTCTTTAAGAGGTCTAGATCTTGGAAAACAAGGATCTGTATAAGATTCATCTTTAGGATGGTTTAGTCCCACCTCTCTGCTTTTCTTTGTTAGGCTTTTGTCCACAGAAAGACTGTTTTAGCTCTCTGGGATCAAAGTTAGCCTAGAAATTGAGAGCACAAAGCCTGGCTATTCTTTATTAGCTGTGCAGAACGGATGCAATTGGTTTACTTAGTCACCTTATTATCTAACTGAATTCATTAATCTTGTTGACTCCAACCACCTTACACATTTTGTGTAATCAGCAACTCTTTTATGATCATTACTACCAATAACTGGCAACTGTTGTCTAATACCACCAACAAAATTTCTTTAAAAATGAAAAACACCACCATCACCACCAACAACCAACAACCCATCACCACCACCCCAACCACCACGATCACCACTCACATGGCTGAATCACCCAGCCCCACGATGTTACCCTATCTTACAACCTCGGCTCAAGAAAAGCATCTCCTTCACTGCACTGTGCATCGTTCATATCAGTGCCACAGTAGAATCATGGAACTCAACCTCACTTGGGCTGTCATTACTCCTCCGAAATATTTGGCTTCTCCTATTTTGTCCTTTTCCCATCCTCCTCAGCAAGTTTTCTAAAATTTTGCCACTCTTCTCAAACCAATTTCCCCAGGGCAGCCCCAGAGCCTCATGACCAAGATGCCTCTTTCACAGAGATAATTCTTTCACTTTAGCAGGTGAGAAATTCCACAGTTTTTCATACTCATCGAAACAAATTTGCCTATTCTGCATCCAGCCCAACCACTTTTGCACTAATCACAGAGAAAGGGTTTTTCCAAGGGTTATTCCTCTGCTGAGCTTTTGAACAGTCACCCTTGCATCTCCATTAGTCATCAGTTACTCTGCCTGCCATCTCCCTTTACTTTCTCCACCTCTTCCTCCTCTCCTTCCTGTCTCCTTCCTCCTTCTTGATCTTTGCCCTCATATTTCCTGCCTGTCTCCCCATAACAGTCCTCCTTCTCCCATTTCCCTCCCTATCTGACTCCCATCTTTCTGTATTTATCCATTCAGTATCCACTGGTTGGTTCCTTCCCTGTAAGAACACTATGCTCACGTCTCACCATATTCTCTTTTTAGCCCATGCTAAATTGTGTTCCTGCCCTATCACTTTCCTTCCTTTGGCAACTAAGGTCCTCAAAATAATGGCTTATTGTTTCTACTCTACCCACATCTGCCACACTCACATGCACACTGAAACTGCGTTTTCTGGGGTCATTTAAGGTCATATTTGTCAAATTCAATAAACTATATTAAGTGCTAATATTTTAAGTCTACACTGATAAGGTTTGGCTGTGTCCCCACCCAAATCTCATATTGTAGCTCCTGTAATACCCACGTGTCGTGGAAGGGACCTGGTGGGAGGTAACTGAATCATGAGGGTGGGGTCTTTACCATGTTGTTCTCATGATAATGAATAAGTCTCACGAGATCTGATGGTTTTATAAAGGAGAGTTCCCCTGCACATGCTCTCTCTCTTGCCTGTTTCCATGCAAGACGTGACTTTGCTCCTCCTTTGACTTCTGCCTTGATTGTGAGGCCTCCCCAGCCATGTGGAACTGTGAGTCCATGAAATGTCTTTCCTTTATAAATTACCCAGTCTCAGGTATGTCTTTATTAGCAGTGTGAGAACAGACTAATACATATACTTTCTGACGAATCCAATACTGTTGAAAATTCCTTTCTCTTAAAACCCTCTTTCCATTTGCTTTCTAAGATGCCACTTTTTCTCAGTGTTCTTCCACTCCTCTCTGGTCTCTATCAGCTCCTTTGCTGGCTCCTCTGACCTGCCTCTCTGATGCCTGTGCTCCCAGGAAGCTCTGGGCTTCTCTTTTCTCCTGGTGCAATCTCCCGGCAACCTCTTCCACTTTTTTTGTTTTTTGTTACCACCTACACATGACTGATCCTCAAATCTCTCTCCCCAACCCTGACCAAGCATCAAGCTTACACATATCTAATTTTCTGTAAAACGTCTACACCTGAATTTCCCCAAAACCCTTATACTCATCATGTTCAAAATAGAACACGTTCAGCAAGGTTACAGAAGACAAGATCAACACATACACACACAAATATCAATCACATTTTACATGCTAACAATGAACATGCAGAAACTGAAACTACAAACAAAATACTATTTACAATTGATTCCAACGAAAATGAAATACTTAAGTTTACATTTACCAAAACATGTGCAGGATCTCATGATGTAAAGATGTTGATGAAAGACATCAAAGAACACTTTAATAAATGTAGAGATATACCAACTCCAAGCATTAGAAGAAAACAGTAAATATATCAATTCTGCCTAAATTTATCTATAGATTTAATGCAATTTTTATAAAATCCCAGTAAAGTTTTTTGTGCACAGAGAAAAATTTATTCTAAAATTTATATGAGGTTTGGCACAGTGGCTCATTCCTGTAATCCCAGCAATTTGGGAGGCTGAAGTGGGCAGATCACCTGAGATCAGGAGTTCAAGACCAGTCTGGCCAACATGGTGAAACCCTGTCTCTACTAAAAATACAAAAAAATTAGCTGGGTGTGGTGGGGGGCGCCTGTAGTCCCAGCTACTCAGGAGGCTGAGGCAAGAGAATCGCTTGAACCCTGGAAGTGGAGGTTGCAGTGAGCCAAGATCGCGTCATTGCACTCCTGACTGGGCAGCAAGAGTGAAACTCTATCTCAAATAAATTAATTAATAAATATATAAAACAAAATAAAATAAAATTTATATGAGAGGTCACACACTCTGGAGTAGCTAAAACAATCTAGACAAAGAAGAGTAAGGTAGGAGGAGCCATTCTACCTGATATTAAACCTTACAAGATACCTACAGTAAACAAGGCAGTATGGTATTCATGGAAGGAAAGACACATAGATCAATGGAACAGAATAGAGAACCCATAAATAGACCCATGAAAACAAGCTCAACTGATTTTTGACAAAGGTGTTAAGGCAGTTCAAATGGACAGTCTGTCCTACAAATGGTGCTAAAGCAATTGAACATTGAACATATATAAGCAAAAATAAGAACCTTAAGCTAAACCTCACAACTTGTACAAAAATTAACTCGACCAGGCACGGTGGCTCACGCCTGTAATCCCAGTACTTTGGGAGGCCCAGGCGGGCAGATCACGAGGTCAGGAGATCGAGACCATCCTGGCTAACATGGTGAAACCCCGTCAGTTCTAAAAATACAAAAAAAATTAGCTGGGCGTGGTGGTGGGTGCCTGTAGTCCCAGCTACTCAGGAGGCTGAGGCAGGAGAATGATGTGAACCCGGGAGGAGGAGCTTGCAGTGAGCCGAGATCATGCCACTGCACTCCAGCATGGGCGACACAGCGAGACTCCATCTCCAAAAAAAAAAAAAAAAAAAAATTAACTCAAAATAAACCATAGATTTAAATGTAAAACATAAACGATAAAAATATTTTAAAAATAAGAGAATATCATTGGAATTGGGATCTAGCGCTAGGCAAAGTGTGCTTGGATTTGACACAAGCACAACTCATAAAGAAGCACAACTCATAAAAAGAATCCTTTATAAATTGGGCTTCATCAAAAGTTAAAACTTTTGCTGTGCTAAAGACCATATTTAGAGGATGAGAAGATACGCTACACATTGGGAAAAAATATTTGCTAACCACATATACAAAAAAGGACTAGGCATCAGGAAGGAGGAAACTATTCAATTGTACACTTTAAATAGGTACCAGAAGAAATAGATGCTAACTCAGAATTCTATAACCATAAAAAATATTGGCCAGGTGTGGTAGCTCATGCCTGTAATTGCAGCACTTTGGGAGGCAGAGACAGGCAGATCTCTTGAGCCCAGGAGTTCAAGACCAGCCTGGGCAACAGAATGAAACCTCATCTTTACAAAAAGCAAAGAAAAAAGAAAAGAAAAGAAAAATTAGCCAAGCGTGGTGGCATGCGCCTGTAGTCCCAGCTACTTGGGAGGGTGAGGTGGGGGGATCACTTGAGCCCAGGAGGTCAAGCCTGCAGTGAACCATGATTGCACCCCTCCACTCCAGCCTGGGTAACAGAGCAAGACTCTGTCAAAAAAAAAACCTCAAAATTGAAGGTAAAATAAACACATTTTCAGATAAACAAATGCTGAAAAAATTCATCACCAAGAGACTTACAAGAAATGCTAAAGAATGTTCTTGAGACTGAAAAGAAATGATAGAAGATTAAAAAGTTAAATCTACAGGAAATAAAGGAAAGTGCCAGTCATAGTCAATAGATTGATTAATATCACAAAAAGCTGTTTCCTTATTCTCTTAAAAGACAATTTCTTAAAAGGCAATTCACTGTTTATATCCAGGTGAGATTTATAATATATGTAGAAGGAAAATTTAAGACACAGCATGAAGCATAGGGAAATTACATTGAGTTACACTCTTCTAAGGTTGCTTTATTTGGGAAGTGAAAAATGGGAAGTGCATAGTGATAGAAGTGAGGTTAGAAATGAGCAATATGAAGTAGGAAGTGTCAGGTGTGAAGTGTGAAGTGTTAGATATTGATTCTAAAGAGACTTTGATAGATTAAAGATGCATATTATTAGCCCCAGAGCAGCCATTACAAACACAGGAAGAGACATAGGTAACAAGTCAGCAGAAGAAATACCATGAGATGCTAAAATATCCAAACAATCCAAAAGCACACGAGAAATGAAAAACAGAGGAACAAGAAACAGAAAAGAGAAATTTAAAAAACAGTGAGATGGAAGAATTAAACCATGCCATATCAAAAGTTACAATGCGTATAAGTGAACTAAAACACTAATGTAAAGGCAGAGAGCATCTAATTCAAAAAAGGATGATGCATCTATATGTTGCCTACAAGAGATGCTCTTTGAATCAAATAATACAAATAAGTTAGAAGGTATAAGAATGGAAAAAAATATACCATGCAGAAAATAAGAAAGCTGGAATAGACTTCAAGACAAAGAATATTACAGGAGATAAATGGGATGTTTGATAATAAGCAAAGGAGAAATTCATCAAGCAGACATACAACTCTAATGCACATAATAATATAGTTTAAACACTTATGAGGAAAAAAATTGAGAAAACTAAAGGAAGAAATAAATTCATAATCAAAGTTGGAAACTAAAATCTTGAACAAATAAAGTAGACAAGAATAGATGAAAGTATTTGTAAGGCTATAAAAGGTCCGAATACTGTTATTAACCAACTTGACCTGACTAACATTTCCAGAACACTACATCCGATTACAGTAGAATACACTTTTTAAAGTTTTTTTTTCTTTTAACTTTTACTTAAGGTTCAGGGGTACATGTGCCTTAGGTATGGTATATAGGTAAACTTGCATTATGGGGGTTTGATATATAGATTATTTCCTCATCCACGTACTAAGCATAGTACCTGATAGGCATTTCATCTGATCCTGTTTCTCCTCACACCCTCCACCCTCAAATAGACCCTAGCATCTGTTGTTCCCCTCTGTGTCTATGTGTTCTTGTCGTTTAGCTCCCATTTATAAGTCAGAACGTGCAATATTTTGTTTTCTGTTCCTGCATTAGTTTACTTAGGATAATGGCCTCCAGCTCCATTTGTTGCAAAGGATAGAGATGGATGATCTCATTCTTTTTTATGGCCGCATAATATTCCATGGTGTTTATGTACCACATTTTCTTTATCCAGTGTATCATTGATAGGAATTTAGGTTGATTCTAGGTCTTTGCTATTATGAATAGTGCTACCATGAACATACTCATGCAAGTGGCTTTCTGGTAGAATGATTTGTATTTTAGGGGATATGTATCCAATAATGGGATTGCTGGGTCAAATGGTAATTCTGTTTTTCATTCTTTGAGGAATCACCACACTGCTTTTTTTTTTCAAGTGCACGTGGACGTTCACCAAATTGCACATAGATAAGGCAATAAATTTCGAACAATTGAGGGGAAAATAAACTTGTCTTGTCTTCTATGCATATCTAAAAAGTTCTACAAATGGATAGCGAGATATGGACAGGTGATACTTTGTCCCACTCATTTTCTGCCCACCTTTTCAAACTCCAATAAGCCCAAGAGTCACTACTCCCATGAAGCCCTGATAAACACCACCCAAAATTGGCCCCTCGATGTGTGCCTACCTTCAACCTTCCATATTCTTTATGACACTCAACAATGCCTTATCACACTTCTTTTGCACGTTTTTCTGATTATTGGTCACCTTTTCTAGACCACTAGACCCAAGAACAGGGATCATATATAATTTGTGTGTGCAGACCCAGTCCCTAGCACAGTGCCTGCCACAGAACAGGCATTTAATAGTTGTTGTTCATCAATGAATGCTATTCTTAGTAATGGTTGGGTCAATTTTAAAGCAAGTATGACTGGCTTCTGTGCCTACCACCTGCCCCGCTCAAATAAAGGAAAATTTCCAGGGAAAGACAGCATGATGAAAAATAGGCCTGAAGTAAAAGATTAAAGGAAGCACATTTTGACTGATAAGAAGAAAGAGAAGTTTCCTTAAGAATGATTTTCTGTGCCAGCAGAAGATATTGCCTAGTGACAAAGTCAGAGTAAATGACCTTAGATCACCAAAACAATTCAGAGAGAAATAAGAAAATAATCCCTGTACAAAAAAGATGGAAGCAACAGGCTCTGCTGAAAAGTTGTGGAATTTTGATACTTGATAGTTTAATAAAGCCAACAAAGATTAGTTATTTTGAACAGTTAAATGTGGGTCCAGCAGAAGGATGATCTATTTGAGGATTTTTCCAAACAACAATTTTACCTATGAGTAAATAGAGATGCTGCAGGGAACTGTGAAAATGACTATTAGTGTATTCTTTGCCAAGAATATTTTCCCATCACTGTTTTTGTGTCCCATAATTCCCTGATCAATCATTTAGACTTTACATCGAGGCTGTCTCTTTTATCTTTTGAACCTTAGGCCTAATGGAAAGCCAAAGACAAAGTAAAGACTAAATACTAATTGTTGAAAGAATGTTTGTTAAATAGCATAGATATTATTCACCAGTTTCTCTGAGTTTGAATTTGTTTATTAGTAAAGGAGACAAGTTTACAGCATTGACCATTCAGGTCATCTTTCTTACCCATTATCAAATCCTCGGCCATCCCAGTTCTGTGAAATAGTGAAAAAAACAGTCAGTTCTATGTGTTGTTCCACCTGTAATTCGTTGTCACACTGAAAAGTGAAAGTCACAGTATTGTATTATAGTTTGATGTGTTGTAATATCACTAGGAAAGCTACCTGCTTTAATTCTTACACAAGAACTTTTGATTATTTATCGTATTTCTTACATATATCATTTCTTACCTATCCTATCTTCTTACACATGAACTATTTTATTTATTTATATTTGAAAACAGATCTTTTATTTAGACTTTTCAACAGTATGCAACGCTTTACCAATGCAAATGCCTTACTAATCAACAAATATTCAGTGTCTGTCTCCTCCATATGAAAGTTTATAAGAGCATTATTATTATGAGTTTTATACTTCAGCTAGGGATTTAACCACATAGACTGCAGAGGTGCTCTATCTTTATGTTTCTATGGTACAACAGAGCACATCTGGGTTTACATCAATGGCTGCACTCAGTTCCTGCAGAATAATACTCCTAATCCTCATTCTCCATGCTTATAAAAAGAAAATTCAATTATGAAACCACAGCATCTAAACTACTTATCCCTGCAGCCCCAAGACTTCATTCATCTGGAGACAGGCTAATGACAGGGCAATTTAGTATTGGGAAATTTGAAAATTTACTTCAAGATAAGTTTGCTTTAAAAATGTGGGTAATAATTGCAACTGTAAGATTAAGCCAGGTTTGTCTCATTGTGTAGATTTCTTCCCATATCCTGCCCCCCCACTTTATGACAGTAATGATTTTGTGACTAAGACTGGTGTCACTATAATGTTCTTGGGACAGAATGATAGTCCAATGACTCATCAGACAGTAGAAAGGGAAAATATTCAAGAAATTTAACATCATTGGTATTTGAAATATTTCAATACTGTGAATCTATTCCTAAAAATAAGGACAACTAAATAACTTTATTCACTAATAAAAAGCCACAATCAAAACAACTGTGACAGAGTGTGGAACAAATTATAATTACTTAAAGAATCATTGTGATTACTCATAAAAACCTTAACGTTTGCCAACCAATTTTTCTTGTCAAAATACATTGTTTCTTCTGGCGTTCATACCCTCAATTTGCCCAATTACTCTCCATAATTTTTTTTTTTTTTTTTTTTGGTGGCTGAGACACAAAATAGTATGCAGGTTCTGAAGACTTCTATCTGTAAGTACAATATTTGAGAAGTAGATGAGTACCTTTCAAAGACAAATGTTGAGATTTGTGAGTAGGAAAGATAGGGGAAAAAAAAGTGTCATGAGGATTTTGGCCTATACCGAGAAGTTTTTGAGTCGATTAGGAGCTCTGGAAACAAATGACATCAACTCTCAGCATTGCGGATGTCTCATTTTCCTCTTTATCTCTCTTTTCACTGCTTCTCTTCTTCTTCCCTGGATCCATGTGTCTGTCACTTACCATCCTCTACTCCCTCTCCTCTGTCTTCCTTTTCCTGTGCTGCTGTCTGCACACAGCAGCTGTCCACAGACTGTCCAGCCTTCAGAGATAACTGGCTTGTGGAGTCTGCAAAAATGGGTGTCTATCCCTTTCTCATTTTTTTTTTTTCCTTTGAGACGGAGTCTGGCTCTGTCGCCCAGACTGGAGTGCAGTGGCACGATCTCGGCTCACTGCAAGCTCCGCCTCCCGGGTTCACGCCATTCTCCTGCCTCAGCCTCCCATGTAGCTGGGATTACAGGCGCCTGCCACCACGCCCAGCTAATTTTTTGTATTTTTTTAGTAGAGACGGGCTTTCACCATGTTAGCCAGGATGGTCTCGATCTCCTGACCTCGTGATCCGCCCCCCTCGGCCTCCCAAAGTGCTGGGATTACAGCCGTGAGCCACTGCGCCTGGACGTGTCTATCCTTTTCTATAGCACCTCTAGGAAACACGAACCATGTCCAAGATACAATTAATTCCATCATATATTATCCCCAGCAAGATAGAGCTTCATTTACATGAAAAGTTGTATAGGCACAGAACTCATCCTTAGGAAGTTGTCCGTGTTTGTTTTAAGTGACCATATTCATAAGCCCTCTCTTAGGTTTGAGTGTTTCCCTCCCAGTGCATTTAACCTCTTCTGACTCCCTACTGGCTGTTTGGCGACCACCTGCCCCAGCACTTTAGCCATGCTCTCCTTACTCAACAATATCCCATGCTCTAAACCTCCTTTCATCAAAATTATGCCCCATTCCCTTAGGATACTGCTAAGTGAAGTTAATTTGATTGATTATTATGAACCAAGACATTAATTATTTAATAGATATTTGCATTTATCAGGGATTGTTTCATGAGAACACTTAACATGAGATCTATCCTCTTAACAAATTTTCAAGTGCACAGCATAGCATTGCTGACTCTAGGCACAATGTTGTACATAGATATCTAGAACTTATTTTCCATAAATGCATTCAATTGAGGTTTTCTCAAAGAAGTTGTTCAAATAATGTCTTTATATAGTACTTACTGTATGTCAGGTACCCGGTAAAATCTTGGATATTCAGAAGTAGACAAAATACATGTGTTCCTTATCTTCTTGGAGCATTATAATGTAGTGGATCTTTGAGTCAACATTGCAGAGTGGCTGTCTCCATACCATTCCAGTCACATCAGGTAGGGAGATCATCTATTATGTCATCACATGGACTATAAACAGTCTATAAAAGTTCATTCGGGGTAGCATTTATGTTCTGGGACTCAGGATGTAATGTTGTTGGTGTTGTTCTAGCACCAACAATAACCATGTGAGTTAGACAGTTCTATTCCCATTTTGCAGAGAAGACTGCTTTTACAGAATTAAATCCTCTACCTATGGGTCATGGGACAAGCAAACAACAGTATCAGGATCTGGAGATGACTTTGAACTCCAAGTCCAACATTGTCCACTCCACCACAGGTGCCACCTCAGATTCTCCCCAAGTCCCCTTGGATATGGAGTGAGTAGATTATCAGGATTTGCATGCCATCTTCAGCTTCTCACTGGATGCCCAAATGGTGGGAGGAATAGAATTGTAACGCAGGTTTTAAGTTCTTACTTCTATAATAGTCCTATGCTAATAATGTATCATTCTTACTGTGTAAATCAAGATTGACAAGCTGCTCAGCCATGCAGCTCACCTTTAATAATCATTCATTACATTCCTGAAACTGAGAGTTGATGTAGCATGAAAAATCATAGTGCTACTTTATGAATGTTATATAAATGAGTCAACAATGGCATCTGTGTATGGGGCCCTAGATTGTTTATTTCTTCACTGCAGGCAGAGACCCGCTAACTCAAAAATCTGACAGCTCCAAACTCAAATTTTTACACATCCAATTGTTAGATCGGTCCAAACAAGCAGATAGTCTAAATAAGCATATTTGTAGCCACTTAGAGCCTGTCTGTATTGTGTACTCAGTAAAACTGCACCAAACATCTGCTAGCAATAGATAAGTTCTGGGCCCTAAAGACCCCAAGCTGCTGCTGCCCTTTGGAGCTGTCTGAGTCACTCTTGCCATGCTGCTAATGATGTTACCTAGACACATAGCCCTCTATCAAATTTCCCTCTTCCCTGGAAGTCCCCTTGCCCTCCACTCTTTCTGAGTGGTGGCTTCCCGTACTTTAAACTCCGGAAGACCTCATGCTCTGAGGGACTTCTCCTGCTCTGAGGGACTTCTCCTGCATGCAAACCTGTCAAAGGCAAATAAAGCTCATCTGTGCTATTGCCACCTTGTGGTCATGTATTGCTTTTTAAAAAATCAGCCCCCATATCCCTCGAAGCATCTACAACAATCTAAAATTTCCTTGATTCGTTTGAAGACACACACAACATACATACAATTCCCCAAGCAAAAGCATGAAGTCAGCTTATTGTTTTTCATTTGTGCGTGGTATTTGGCAAATATTCAGCCACGACTAGTATGTAACAGTAATAGGCACAGGTGATTCTTATTTGACAATTGTGTAGCTTGCTACACAGAAGAGAACTAATTCACAGAGTAGATACTACCAGTCACATGAACTCATTAGCTTACCACTTCAAAGTTAATAGAGTGCCTCATGGGATCAGTCCTATTTTGGAAATGTTTGGAGGTCATAGGAGTAGAAAGTAAAGAACATCTTGTGGTCCCAGAAAATAAAGGAAACACTAAAAAATAAATCAATAAAAACAAAAAATAATTAAGGCTTGTTTAAGCACAAGGACCCACTTGACTGGCTAATGTTAGAGCAAATTGAGTCACAAAGTAAATAATGGTAGTACTGAACACATAGAATAAAATAAATATCTATGGTTCCAAATTGTTATAAATAATAAAATAAGTGAACAAACAGGGAAAGAAATGGCTCTTCCTCATAGTAGAATTTAAATAAATGTATTAGATAAAAAACCATAATCGCCATTAGGCAACCACCACAATAGTAACTGTCACAGACAGATAAGGTACTCTCATGGATGCAAAAATTTGTGGCTGAAAGTTTGAGAATAGATTTTGCATAGTTTCAACATATTTCCCTAAGATACATACTAACTACAAAGGGAAAAATGGTAACTTTATAGTAAAAAACATGGCAGACACCCACTTAACCAAAGCAATCAAAGTAAATATCAATAATAAGACACAGAGATTATCAACCCCTTAGTATGATGCCCTGAGGACACCACAACATCATTTCTGTGGTATTCTTGCCAAAAATCCATAACTTCATTCCAATTATGAGAAAGTATCAGAATAATTCAAATTGGCAGACATTCTATAGAACAAATGATCCAGCCAGGCATGTTGCACTCTGTGGTCCCAGCCACTTGGGAGGCTGAGGCAGGAAGATGTCTTGAGGCCAGGAGTTTGAGGCTGCAGTGAGCTATGATCACACCTGTGACTGGTCACTGAACTCCAGCCTGGGCACCACAGCAAGACCTCATCTCTAAAACAAAACAACAGATCAATACTCTTCATAAGTGTCAAGTGATAAAAGATAAC